>NC_000012.12:115793461-115944976 GCF_000001405.40 Homo sapiens | reverse complement strand
TTTCCATCTGCCTGTGGGCGTCCACGATGTCGGGGAAAGCAGCAATACTGTCCACTGAGCTCAAGACCCTAAATCACCCCTGTGCTTTTGCGAATTACTAACACGGTTCCTGAAGGGCAAAAATGTCCTCTAAACGTAGGGCAGAGTTTACAAGTGGGTGATCCTTGGGCCTAATACGGCCTTTGCCTCTGCAGGATGGATTTGGACTGCACAGTGTTTTTAAAAAGTTTGAATCAGTAGCCAACATTTCAAAATAGGATAATTCACTTTTTTTTTTCTAAAAAAAAAACAGATTTTTACCTTCTCTTGAGCGATCACTTATATCTGGGAGCAAGATCTATATTTCCACCTGGTAGTGACTGACTGGAGTCTGGAGCCCCGTAGAAGCCCCCCAGCCCATCCATTTTTAATTCGGACACGGACTGGCCAGTTTGCTGCAATCCTTACCATGCCCTAACGCCTTGCACTGACGTTTGTTTTATTCATTCACGTTCCCTGCCCGGCCCCTGTAGGTGTGAGTTTGTGAACCCTAACAGAGAGCTACATATCTGTTTCCCACATTTATGAGGAGCTCAAATAACCTTTTGTGACCTGGGGTCAGCAAACTACAGCCTGAGGGCCAAACCCAGCCCGCCACCTGTTTTTGTGAATAAAGTTTTATTGGAACACCACCACGCCCACTGGTTTGGGTATTGCCTATGGCTGCTTTCCTGCCACAGTGTGGTTTTCAAAGCCTGCAGGATTTACTGTCTGACCCATTGCAGAAGAACTTTGCTGACCTCTGATCTCATCCAACTGTACAATCGTTTTTTGTTATTGATGCATGAACTGAGGCCCAGAGAGGGAAGGAGGGAGCCAAGGTCATTCTCAGTGGCCAAGTCAGTGGCTGGACTTTGAATCCAGTGCTCTTCCTACGAACCCCATGTGGAGGGTTTCAGTGTCCCCTTTACACTCCTGTCTCCCACACCATGAAGCCACCCTAAGACCCTGAAGGAACAGGCACCTCTGGCTCTCACCTGGCAGGTAGTTCTGATTCTGTCAACTGCTCCATTGCAAGAAGTCCCCATGTCCCCTTCCCTGCGTCTTCCCTGCCCATGAGCTGATGGGGCCGGAGTGCCTGGCTCCGATCACCACTGATAATTGGCCCTCTGCACCCGGCCAAGGCTGGAGTTTGTCTATAGCCCTGACATCATTAACACACCATCAATCGTATTGCCCAAGCAGCCGGGAAGCCCTCCATCTGGAATTCAGCCCTGGCAAGGATCAAAGTCCAGCCGTCTGGAGCCCCGGGTTGGGGAAGAGGAAGAGGGCTGGCTCAGCTCTGTGCCCCCATGGGCTTGGCGTGGGGCCTTGTGGACAGAGCGTGGGTCTCAGGGCCTGGGAAGGCTGGGCGGCTGGGTGCCAGCACCCCCCTCGGCAGTGATGTCACTTTGGACAAGAACTTCACTTCTCTGAGCCTCAGTTTCCACATGTGTAAAATGGGGGCTGACAATCCCCATCTCTCAGGGAGGGCTCGGTAGGTTTGTAAAGCCCTTAAAAGTTGTAAAGTTGGATAAAATGATGTGATGGTGGGGCTTTGCTTTAAAAGGTGCACAGAGGACATGAGTGGGTGCGGGGGATCGGGGGAGAGTGCAGATGCAAAGGGTGGGAGAACCGCCCTCAAATCTGGGCTAAGGGCCCGGGGGCTTGTTATCCTTTTCCTACTCCTGTGTGTGCTTGAAGTTTTCCATAATAAAAAAGTTAAATTGGAGGCCGGGCATGGTGGCTCATGCCTGTAATCATTACGACACTTTGCTAGGCTGAGATGGGCAGATCACTTGAGGTCAGGAGTTTGAGACCAGCCTGGCCAATGCGGTGAAAACCCGACTCTACTAAAAACACAAGAATTAGCCGGGCATGGTGGTACGCACCTGTAGTTCCAACTACTTGGGAGGCTGAGGCAGGAGGATCACTTGAACCTGGGAGGTGGAGGTTGCAGTGAGCTGAGATTGCACCACTGAACTCCAGCCTGGGCAACAGAGGGAGACTCCATCTCAAAAAAAAAAAAAAAAAAAAAAAAAAAAAGGAGTTAAATTGGAAAAAGCTATAAAATTCTGTAGAAATGTATGGAGCAGTTTGTCAATGTTGGAAGGTAGCAGCGAGTCCTGAGGATAAACACAATACTTCATGCTGCTGGTGGTCTCTGAAGCCTGTGCTTAGCTTGGGGAAGACAGAATGGAGCCGGCCACAGGGTGTGTGTGTGTGTTTGTGTGTGTGTGTGTGTGTGTGTGTGTATGTGTGGTGTTTGCAGGTGAAGATATCTTTCTTGAGGGCCTGTTGTGTGCTAGACCTGAAATAAGGGTGTTCCCCTTATCCAAAGTGATCTTCCTCCCTCTCCCCTCCCTTCTGGCAGCCACTAGCCGGAGCCCTGGTCTTATTGTCTTTCATCTTGTCCTCACTGACTGTCCCTGTGAGGTCAGAGGCAGAGGGGTTGACCCTAGACCCTTGGACACTTTCTCTGAATTGGATCCTCCAAGGCCACATTTCAGAAACCACTGCTCTGACCACTATGGTGCCTGCCACACCCACCTCCCCAGCAGGCCCAGGCTCACATTTAACTTGGACCTCTCTGTCTAACCACCCCTTCCTGTCCCTTGCTGCAGGTGGTATAAGGTTGCCAGATTTATTAATAGTAAATAAAAACGCAGGATGTCCAGTTAAATTTCAGAAAACAATTTTTAATGTATTTACCATGCCATATTTAGGACAGACTGATAGTAGAAAAGCATTCATCATTTATCTGAAATTCAAGTTCAACTAGGTGTCTTGCATCTGGCAACCCTATCCTGGTGTTACCTATCATTCATTCATTCATTCATTCGAACACCTTCTACACGCCTGGCACTGGCTGGGGAGTCAGAGATGATGACAGATGCTCCTCGACTTACTATGGGGTTATGTAACAATGAACCCATCGTAAGTTGAAAACACTCTTATGTAGAAAATCTATTTAGTACACTCAGCCTACTGAGCATCACAGCTTAGCCTAGCTTGCCTTAAATGTGCTCAAAACACTTACGTTAGCCTACAGGTGGGCAAAATCATCTAACACAAAGCCTCTTTTATAATATAGTGTTGAATATCTTATGAAATTTATTTTTAATTATTTGTTGATTGATTTTTGAGACAGGGTCTTGCTCTGTCACCCAGGCTGTAGTGTAGTGTCACTATCACACCTCACTGCAGCCTTGACTTCCTGGGCTCAAGTGATCCTCCCACCTCAACCTCCCAAGTAGTTGGGACCACGGGCACATACCACCATGCCCAGCTAATTTTTGTAATTTGCAGAGACAGGGTTGCCATGTTGCCCAGGTTGGTCTCCAACTCCTGGGCTCATGTGATCCGCCCACCTCGGCCTCCTCAAGAGCTAGGATTACAAGTGTGAGTCACCGCATCTGGCCTCATGGGATTTATTGAATACTGTACTGGAAATCCAAAACAGAATGGTAGTATGGACACTCGAAGTAGTTTCTGCTGAATATGTATTGCTTTTTCACCATTGTAGAGTTGAAAAATTGAAAGTTGAACCATTGCAAGTCTGGTCCATCTGTAGTTTAGTTCCTGCCTGTAAGGATCTTCCCAGACTGTCCAGAAAACCAGTCATTACCAAAAGGGGTTATAAATAGAAATCTAAGCAGAGAGCATCAGGAGCACAGGAATGAGGACACCACTGGAGGAGACAGGGCTGCACATGGTGGCACTGATGACAGTCACGGCTGTGGCTGATCAGGTGTGTAGCAGTTCCCAGGCCAATTTCCATGGTTCATAGCAGGAGGCTGGCCTGTGGCTTGAGATTAATTGAGGATTTCCTGAAATCCAACCTCCACCAGCTTCTTAGTCCCTTGCAGACAAGCAGTATTTATCCAGTGCCACCATGTCCAGGGTGCTGGGGCTGCAGATGAGGTCCCTGTCCTCAAGGTACATGTGATCTTTAGGGGGATTCATAATGATCAGGCATAGAGTTAAAGGAAGGTATAATTTCAGACAAGGATAAGTGCTACAAAGAAAACGGAACAAGGTTCTGTAGTAGGGCGTGTCTAGGGCCAGTGAGGGTGGCTAGATTCTGGGTGATGGGTGAGTAATAACTAATCAATAACACTTGTGCTGCCTCTCCTATAGTCTCGGTTGTAAGCACTTCATGTATACCAACTCACTTAATTCTCACATCAGCCCAAAGAGGTTGGTGCCCTTGTTATCCCCATTTGACAGATGAAGAAACTGAGGCACAGAGAAGTGACATGATTTGCCCTCTGAGCCTCAATTTTCCCATCTTTAAAAGGGAAGCTCATTAGACTTCTGTGGAATGAAAACAGTTTGTAAACTATGAAGTTGTTTACACATCTGTATTTTGCACATCTGCACTTTTACCTTCCATTACAATCAGTGAGCAATTGGGAGCCTCAGTTTCCCCCTTAAATAAATGATCTCCTTTTTTGGACTGTGAACTACTCAGAGTTGAGAGCCACACCTGGTAGGAATACATCCCTGTCTCTCCATGCCTGGACCAGTCTCTGGCACATAGCTGCAGTTCAGCCCCTACTTTTTCCTTTCTCAGCTCTCAAGCATGAAGAATTTCCTTCCAAAGGAAGTATCTTTGGGTACCTGTCAATGTGTCTTTACTGTTGGCCCAACTATCTTCACCTTCACGTCCTGTTCAACTAGGGGGGCTAATTGAAGGCCAGACTCATTCAATACTAAGCCTGGTACACTCCTGCCCCCACTCCCCATTCTGCCAGACCCATCCATGAGCTCAGGGCCGGGCAGTGCTGGGGATGCACCTGGGCATCTCCAACAGTGATGTGGCTCTTTTTCAGGCAACACTGTGAACTACCAAACCAAAAACTTCTGCTTAAAAACTACCTAAAAATTTTGGATCACATGTAAAACCCATCCTTTTAGATGAGAATCTCCACTTTCTGTGTGCCATGACCTTTATGGCAGTCTATGGAAGCCTAGGGATCCCTTCTCAGAATGCTGTTCTTAAATGTTTTAAATAAATACAATTATGAAAGAAACAAATAACTGTATTTCACCATAATGTAAATTTATTTTTATTTTTATTTTTTAAGATGGGGTCGCCTTATGTTGCCCAAGCTGGACTCCAACTCCTGGGCTCAAGAGGTTGTCCTGCCTCAGTCTCCCAAGTAGCTGAGACTACAAGCACTTTAAGTATTTAAAACAATTCTGATAGAGTAATATATAAACTTTTTTCTTACATTAAGCCTTTTTAAATATTGATATAGCTGTTCATATATTGGGGCCACATGTGATATTTTGATACATGTACACAATTTGTAATAATCAAATCAGGGTAATTGAGGTATCCAAAACCTCAAACATTTATCTTTTCTTCGTGCTGGGAACACTACAATTCTTCTCTTCTAGTTATTTTGAATTATATAATAAATTATTATTAACCATAATTTCTCTACTGTACTATTGAATATGAACTTTTACATTAATATATAAAACAAGATTTAGCAGCAGACAATAACAACCATAACTTTGAACTAAAAGACAAATGTGAGGAAATGTTCAGAATGCCGCATAAAGACACCAAGTGACAGAAAATATAAAAAAAGAGGTTAAGCAGCTTTAGTGATAGAATGAGAAGGTCTGACAGGCAAGTAATAGAAATTTTAGCAGGAGAGAGCAGAGAAAATTGAACAGAGGCATTATCCAAAATATGTTTTCGTATAATTAATGAAAGACATGAATCCTTAAATCCAAGATGTCCAATAATATCCTAGCAGGATAAGTAAAAATAAATACATGTCATAATACAACCATAGAACATAAAAGCCAAGAAAGATATTGTAATCCACTTGATCAAGTGAAAGGTAAAGAAAGATTACCAACAAAGTCCTAACACTAAACTTCTCACCAGCAATGACAGAAGATAAAAGTGCTGAGAAAATAGTAATTGACCACCCAGAATTCTATACCCAGTGAAACTATCACTCAAGAATGAGAGTTGAAATAGTCATTTTCAAATAAACACAAGGTAAACTTTTTATCATCAACTGACATGCTGAAATAACTATCAATGCATGTTCTTGGGGAGAAGGAAACCAAATCCAGAGGGAATCAGTGAAATATGAGACAAAATGGTGAAAAAAACCTGGCAAATATGTGGGTAAATTCAAATGCTCTAATTGTACAAAGCAAGAGCAATGAGTGTTTTTGAGGACGTAAAACCATGTGGAAATACATATTGCTACAAGATAATCTGAATAAAAATATTCTAAGTTTCCTTATTGCCAGAAAGGAAAGCATAAACATTGATTAACTCAATTATCCATAATTAGCCTGAAGTCAAGGGGATAGATTAAAAATTTAACTGTAGACACTAAAATCATAGGACCAGAATGTACAGTTTCTGACCCCACAGAAAGGCCAAAGGGGATATAAGGAAAACTAAGTCAATCTAGTGGAAAGTAGAAAAGGGGAAAAAAATGATGCACAGAAAAAGAATGATAAATGATACAAAAAAGACTCTAGAAATAGATTCAAATATATCAGCAGTCACAATAAATCTAAATATATCAGTAATATCAACAAAAAGCATTGTCTTATGGGATTACAAACAAAAATAAAAACAGCAACCAGCTATACATTGTTTATAAAAGAAACAGCTAAAACAGTAAAGACTCAGAAAGATTAGAAGTACAAAGACAGAAAAATGTAAGTCAAGCAAATACTGAGAACAAGCTTGTATGACCAAATCGCTGTCAGGCAGAAAAAACTTTAAGGCAAATAGCACTGTCAGAAATAAAGAAGCTTACACTATAATGTTAAAAGATTTAATTAACAGGGAGCTAGAATAATTTTCAACTTGTATGCACTCATCATACCCCAAATCCACAATTACAGTGGAAGATTTTAACATGCTTCTCCCAGTAATTGAGAGCTGAAATAGACAAAAGGTAAATAAGAACATGATGAGAGTGACACAATTAACAGCCTAGATCTAATGGACATGCACAGAACCCCATAATTAGAGACTGCATATCTTTTTCAAGCATTTACAAAAATTAATCACATAATGAACAAGACCAAAAAGCAAGGCTCAGCAGTCACAAAGGCACTGATGCAAGGAGGAAGAGGGAAGAGCGGGGGATCCTGGAACAAGGACAGAAAATATAAGCCAGGCAAATACTGTGCATTTACCCAGGCAAATATTTTGGGTGGTGTCCACCCAAAATAGCTCCCTCCCCACAACTCACAGCTCCAAGTAATTTGTCTCTCCTGGACTGAAATAGCTGCTCATAGCTAGAGTCCAGTAGTTTGTGAGCAAGTGTATGAACAAGTCCTGGGGTCATCTGGGATCCATCAGACAGACCGGTTTGTGGCTCTCTCTCCTACAATCAAGCAGCATCTAGAGAGTCACAACCTGGGGGCAAGATCAAGACAGCTTTGTATCCTTGGAGCCTCAGTGAGGCCGAGAGATTCCTGCCTGACAGGAAAGCTCCACAACCCTCCTCGAGCCCCTGTGCTTTAACAAATAAAATGCCTTACCTAAGGAAGCCAAACAGCATGGGCAGAGCTCTCAGAACACACAATTAATGTAATAGAACAGGGGTTGCCAAATATGGCCCATGGGCCACATCCAGATTACCATCTGTTTTTTATTTGTTTTTTAAAGATTCTATTTTTTAAGAGCAGTTTTAGGTTCACAGCAAAATTGGGAGGAAAACACAGCGATTTCTCCTATGCCCCCCACCCCACATGCACAGCCTCCCCCATCATCAACATCCTGCGCCAGAGTGGAACATTTGCTACAGCTGATGAACCTACAGTGACACATCATTATCACCCAGAGTCCATAGCTCACATTAGGGTTCATGCTTGGTGGTGTACATTCTATGGGTTTGGGACTGATACGGTTAGGCTTTGTGTCCCCACCCAAATTTCATCTTGAATTATAATCCTCATAATCGCCACATGTTAAGGGAGAGACCAGGTGGAGGTAATTGAATCATGAGGGCAATTTCCCCTATGCTGTTCTCCTGAGAGTGAGTTTTCATGAGATCTGATGGTTTTATAAGGGGCTGTTCCCCCTTCACTGAGCTCTTCTTCCTTCCGCCTTGTGAAGAAAGTATCTTGCTTCCCCTTCACCTGCTGATTCTAAGTTTCCTGAGGCCTCCCCAGCCATGCTGAACCGTGAGTCAATTCAACCTCTTTCCTTTATAAATTACCCAGTCCCTGGCAGTTCTTTGTAGCAGTATGAAAACAGACTAATACAGGGGCCAATACATAATGAAATGTATCCATCATTGTGGCATCATGGAGTAGTTTCACTATTCTAAAAATCTTTTGTCCTACCCCTAATACCCGGTGACCACTGATCTTTTTACTGTTTCCATAGTTTGGCTTTTCCATAATGTTATATAGTTGGAATTGCATAGCACGTAACCTTTTCAAACTGGGTTTTTTTTTTTTTTGCTTAGTAATATGCATTTAACATATAGTGCATGTCTTTTTAGCACTGAATAATATTAAATTGTCTGGATAGATCACCATTTATTTATTCATGTATCTACTGAAGGTCATCAAGTTTGCTTCTATGTTTTGACAATTAGAAATAAAGCTGCTATGAACATCCATGTGCAGCTGCTATGAATATCCAGATGTTTTCAAATCCTTGTTGTAAGTTCCAAGTAATGTGATTACTGGATGGTATCATAAGAGTAGGTTTAGTTTTGTAAGAAACCACCAAACTATCTTCCAAAGTGGCTGGGCCATTTTGCATTCCCATCGGCTGTGAATGAGAGAGTTCCTGTTGCTCCACCTTCTCGCCGGCATTTGGTGTTGTCAGTGTTCTGGATTTGGGCCATTCTAACAGGTGTGTGTAGTGGTTTCATTGTTTTAATTTGAATTTCCTTGGTGACATAGATGAGGGACATCTTTTCATGTGCTTATTTTATTTGCCTTCTGTATATCTTCTGTGGTGAGGTATCTGTTAAGGTTTTTGGCCTGTTTTTAAATCAGGTTGTGGGCCAGGTGTGGTGGCTCATGCCTGTAATCCCAGTACTTTGGGAGGCTGAGGTGGGCAGATCACTTGAGATCAGGAGTTCGAGACCAGCCTGGCCAACATAGTGAAACCCCATCTCTACTGAAAACACAAAAATTAGCCGGGCGTGGTGGCGGGCTCCTGTAATCCTAGCTACTAGGGAGGCTGAGGCAGGAGAATCGCTTGAACCCGAGAGGCAGAGGTTGCAGTGAGCCAAGATTTTGCCACTGCACTCCAGCCTGGGCAACAGAGCAAGACTGTCTCAAAAAAAAAAAAAAAAGTCAGGTTGTTATTATAGAGTTTTAAGAGTTCTTTACACATTTTGATAACAGTCCTTTATCAGAGGTGTCTTTGGCAAATATATTCTCCTAGTCTCTGCTTGTCTTCTCATTCTTTTGACAGTGTTTTCCACAGAGCAGAAGCTTTTAATTTGAATGAAGTCCAGCTTATCAATTACTCCTTTCATGGATTGTGCCTTTGGTGTTATATCCACAAAGTCAGCACCGTACCCAAGGTCACCTAGATGTGGTCCTATGTTATCTCCTGAAAGTTTTATAGTGTCATGTTTTGTATGTAGGCGTATGATCCACTTTGAATTAACTTTGCAAAGGCTTTAACATCTATGTCTAAATTCCCTTTTTTTGCATGTGGATGTCTAGGACTGTTTGTTGAAAAGACAATCTTTCCTCCATTCTATTGCCTTTCACAGCAAAATTGAGAGAAAACTTTGCTCCTTGGCCAAAGATCATTTGATTGTAATTAGGTGAATCTACTTCTGGGACCTCTTCCATCACTTGTTTTTACAAATAAAGTTTTATTGGAACACAGCCACTTGTCATCACTTATACATTTTCCATGGCTGCTTTCTCACTCCAATGGCGGAACGGAGTCATTGTGACAGAGACGAGATAGCCTGCAAGCTTAATCTGGCTCTTTGCTGACCCCCGAAATAGAGCATCTTGGAGACAGAAGAACATATGAATAAAAAATATAGGCCGGGCATGGTGGCTCACGCCTGTAATCCCAGTGCTTTGGGAGGCCGAGGTGGGCGGATCACCTGAGGTCAGGAATTTGAGACCAGCCTGGCCAATGTGGTGAAACCCCGACTCTACTAAAAATACAAAAATTATCTGGGCATGGTGACACATGCTTGTAATCCCAGCTACTCAGGAGGCTGAGGCAGGAAGATCGCTTGAACCTGGGAGGTGGAGTCTGCAGTGAGCTGATATGGTGCCACTGCACTCCAGCCTGGGCAATGAGCAAGACTCCATCTCAAAAAAAAAAAAAAATATATATATATATATATGCATATAACATACATATATACATGAGATATATAGATAGATAGATAGATAGATAGATAGATAGATAGATATATGTATGTATATATTAAGGCCACCTAAGGAGGTATGAAAATAGTTCCAAAAAAAGACTTCTAAGTTAATAAAACAGTTTTGGAAAATAGTTTTTAAATATCTACTAAAGTTGAATATGGTGGCTTACAAAAAGAGTACACAAATTCCTCCAATCTCTGTTCTATGATTTGCAATGTGATTTCTCTAGCTCCTCCCATCAAGAAGTGGAGTTTATTTCTCCACTCTTGCATCCGAGCCAGCGATGGGTCCCATGTGAAATTCAGTGAAGTGACATAGTGAGCACTTCAAGGCCAGGCATCAAGAAGCCTTGTGGCTTCCTTTTGCAATCTCTTGCTGCCCTGAGACAACCACGTGGAAAACTCCAGGCCAGCCTTCTCAAGAGACCACATGAAAGAGAATCAAATGTCCCAGCCAAAGATCCCACAGTTCTTTGGATCTTCCCAGAATGCTGACCCAAAGAACTGTGAAAAATTATTCTTGTTTTAGCCTATTATGTTTCAGGGTGGTTTGTTAACACAGCAAAGATGAACTGAAATACTAAACAAGTGCAGTTCAACTCCTAGAGATGTAAGAAATGAAACTCATTGTACCAAGAGACTTGTTAAGCATGTTCATAGCATTATTATTTACAATAGCTTCCAACTAGAAATATTCATCAACATAAACTGTGGTGTAGTTAGGCAGTGGAATATTATCTAGCTGGGAATATAAATAAACTATAGCTAGATTCATCAAGATGACCAACTATTAAAAATGATATTTAGCAAAAGTAGTAAATCACTGAGGTATATAAAATTGGAATTCAAGCTGCAGGACAGTCACGCAGAGAGGGAGTGCAAACAGAGAGGAGAGGGGGCTAGACTTCCTTGTTGGAGAACACGTAGAAGTTGAAGAGATGAAGAGGAAAGTTCCAGGGGAAAGAAGAATTATAGGCTTATCCTCACTTAGAACACTGATGGAAAAGTCCAAAATAACATATTTACCCAGATAATCCAGAATGGTGTTAAAAAATAAATGTGTCATCATCAACTGAGTGTCACAAGGATGATGCAATTTACAGATGTAATTTATTTTATCAATATGAATAAATGCACTGGCCAGGCATGGTGGCTCATGCCTGTAATCCCAGCACTTTGGGAGGCTGAGGCAGGAGGATCGCTTGAGTCCAGGAGTTCAAGACCAGCCTGAGCAACATGGGGAGACCCTGTCTTTACAAATAATTTTATTACAAAATTAGAGAATAGATGCACAATGATAATTTGTAAAATTCAACAGTATTTGTGATTAAAACATACTTAGCAAGCTAGTATGAGATGAGAACCTCTTTAATCTGGTAAAGAACATTTACCTTGTTATTTATAGCAAACAATATTAACACTAATAACAGTATCAATGATAATAATTGTTCTAACTACATGTCATATATATTATTTAGTTTTCTTGTCTTTCTTTCTTTCTTTTTTTTTTTTTTTTTTGAGACAGAGTCTCACTCTGTGGCCCTGGCTGGAGTGCAGTGGCACAATCTTAGCTCACTGCAACTTCCACCTCCTGGGTTCAAGTGATTCTCCTGCCTCAGCCTCCCAAGTAGCTGGGATTACAGGTACCCACCACCACGCCTAACTTTTATTTTATTTTATTTTATTTTTAGTAGAGACGGGGTTTCACCATATAGGCCAGGCTAGTCTTGAACTCCTGACCTCAGGTGATCTGCCTGCCTCGGCCTCCCAAAGTGCTGAGATTACAGGCGTGAGCCACTGTGCCCAGCCTAGTTTTCAAAACAACCCTTTAAAAGGTGCTATCATAATTCTCCTTTTATAGACGGGACAACTGAGTGACAGCGGGGTTATGTAATTTAGCAAAATGTTAAAAGCAAACCCTTTGAAGTCACGTGTAAAATCAAGTGTCTCTGATCAGCATCGTACTGGTGGCTTTAGCCAGAGTCGCTTCAAAGGAATGAGGATTTGAAAAGGAGAAAAAAATTATTTTTCACAATTTTTCATTTACCTAGAAATTCCAAAGGAATTCACACAAAAATCATTAGCATAAAAGAGTTCAGTAATGTTGCTGCTTACAAAATGTATATGACAAAAAAACAGTCTCTGTATATGAGCAACAAATGATAAGAAAACACAATGAATAAAAATGTACTTAAAATAGCAATGAAAAGTTGATAGCAATTCAAGAAGACCTAAAAATATGCAGAGATAGAGCAAGTGACAGGAACTGTCTTCACCAATATTCCACGTGCTCTGTGCCATTTCCCAGGCTCCCTTGCAGCCAGGTTGGGGCCATCTGACTGGTTCTGGCCAATGGGTTGTGAGTGGGAGGGATGTGTTTCACTTCCATTGTCCCCTCTTCCCCAGCCAGAGAGTCTTAAAAGCCATGTGTTCTCAAGCTGTAAACTGCAAGATGGAGCAGAGCCAACTGGGGACATTGGTCATTGTGAGAGCAAGAAACAAATGTGTTAAGCCATTGATATATCAGGATCTGTCTGTTAGGATCCCTCTAATACCAACAGGACTTTTTTTTTTTTTTTTTTTTTTTGAGACGGAGTCTCACTCTGTCACCCAGGCTGGAGTGCAGTGGCGCGATCTCAGCTCACGGTAACCTCCGCCTCCCAGGTTCAGGTGATTCTTCTGCCTCAGCCTTCCAAGTAGCTGGGACTACAGGCATGCACCACCATGCCTAGCTAATTTTTGTATCTTTTGTAGAGACAGGGTTTCGTCATGTTGGCCAGGCTGGTCTCGAACTCCTGACTTCAAGTGATCCACCCATCTTGGCCTCCCAAAGTGCTGGGATTATAGGCATGAGCCATTGTGCCCAGCCACCAACAGGAAGTCTTGATACCATGACAAGATCAAGTCTTCCCAATTATTTTATAAATTAAGTGCACTTCCAATAAATATTGCAGCGGAGAGATAGTGTGTGTGAAACATATCAATCTGACTCCAAAATTTCTTTGGAAGATTGGTGTTAAGACTAGTCAAGACAAAATTTGAAAGGGAAGTCTAAAAAGGAAAGGATTCATCCTACCAGGATGCAGAACTTATGATAACACTGTAGTTACTAAGACAATATGGCACTGGTGCAGGGACAGACAAATAGATCAACAGCACAGAACCCAGAGCCTGACACATAGTGTGCCTGTTTTATGACAACAGTGTTGCAAATCAGTGGGAAAGCAAAACCGAGTCCAGACAGTCCCACACCCAGGTAGGTACACATAATTAGTGCTGGGAAGTTGGTTGTCCATATGTAAAAAAAAGATAAAATGTCACTCTTGCAGTAGCCTGAGAGGAGTAAGAGCTATATATGAAAAGCATAACCTTAAAACTGTTAAAGGAAAACAGATTTTATTTTTTTAGAAAGGGTCTCTGTCACCCTGGCTGGAGTGCAGTGGTGTGATTACGGCTCACTGCAGCCTCAACCTCCCAGGCTCAAGCGAGCCTCCCACCTCAGCCTCCCAAGCAGCTGGGGCTACAGGTGTGCGCCACAAACCTTAGCTAATTTTTGTATTTTTTGTAGAGATGGGGGTCTCACTATGTTAACTAGGCTGGTCTCAAACTCCTGGTCTCAAGCAATCTCCCTGCCTCAGCCTCCCAAAGTGCTGGGATTACAGGCAGGAGCTACCACACCTGGCTGAATATTTTTATGATGTTGGAATGAGACTCTTTAAAAAAAGAATATAAGAAGTCAAACTCATAACTAAAAACTTCCAGAGAAAAAAACTTTCCATCCAATGTGAAAAGATCAGCTACAGAGAAAATATTTGCAACACACAGGAAAGACTAAAAATCAGTCTCAGGAATATATAAAGATCTAAAAATCAGCAGGAAAAAGACAAAATAGCCCAGTAGAAAAATAGGCAAGAGCTATAAATAGCCAATTCAGGGGAAGAAGTCTGATCTGCCAATCAACATGAAAAGACGTGCCACACATTGAGGAAAGTCATGTAAAAAGAATGAGATACCATTTCACTCTCACCCTATTGGCAAAAACTAAACCAAAAATCTAGTTAACCTCAAGAGTTGGCCAGAATGTGGGCAAACAGGATCTCTTAGAATAGCGGGAGTAACATTGGCTCAGTGTCTTTGAAGGATAACTTTGCAGTATCCAGTTGCACTGAAGACGGGTCATACCTAGGAGATGTGCGGTAATTCCACTTTTTGGGGTCTTGTCTAAGAAACCTTTATAAAGGCGTAAAAAGGATGCTTATTGCAATGTGTCAGTCATAGTGAACAACCCAATTGCCTTCAGCAGGGGAGTGGTTAAACAAACTGTGGATTATTCATAACAGAAAAAACAACCCTATTGAATGGTGTATTAGGATTCTTCAGAGAGACACCATCGCAAGAAGTATGGACTAGATCTATAGACGTCAACATTTTTAAAAGCATGGTGCTAAGTGAGAACAGATTGCAATAGAAAATGTGCATTTCAATAGCAAGTTTTTGGGTAAAATTTCAGAACACACAAAACAATGGTACATGTAGTTTCTGGATACTTGTATATGAGGCAAAACCACAAAAACCTATGTGGGAATGATAGACACCAGTGTCAGGAGAGTGGTTATTTCTGGGAAAGAGGACAAGTTAGAACTTGAAAAAAATCTGGCAATGTTCAGCCTCAGTTGCAATTGCATATATAATTCCAATTATATGTATCTGTACATATATGTATATACATGCACAGATATATGCATATGTACATATTACATATGTGTATATATGTATGTGTGTATAATTACCCATGTAGCTCTTAGGGCACGTGTGTGTGTGTGTGTGTGTGTATACACACACATATATACAAATATATATGTGTGTGTATATGTTATATATGTGTGTCTGTGTGTGTATATATTATATATATGTGTGTGTGTGTGTATTAGAGACGGGGTTTCACTCTGTCGTCCAGACTGGAGTACAGTGGTACCATCATAGCTCACTGCAGCCTCGAACTTCTGGGCTCAAGTGATTCCCCTGCCTTGGCCTCCCCAAATTGCAGGTGTGAGCCATCAAGCCCAGCCGGAATAATATATTCTTGAGTTGCCTGTATGCACACACACTATGATAGATTATGCATATTTAGTAGGAAAAAATATATGTCTATATGTTATAAGGAAAAAGTCTAAAGGGAAACACACCAGCAAATTCCTATTCTTTCTGTCTGTGGAGTGTGATTAGAGCTGAATTATTTTCCTTACTACCTCTTTGTATTTTCTTTTTCCCCTTTTTAGAGACAGGTGTCTTGCTATGTTGTCCAGGCTGGTCTGGGCTCATGTTATCCTCCTGCCTCAGTCTCCCCAGTAGCTGAGACTATAGGGGTGAATCACCACACCTGGCTCTTCTTTGTATTTTCTGATTAAAACAAACAAACATATTTTACTTTTTACTTAGCAAAGGCATTTAAACATATTTCCTTTCTGGAAAAAAGTGTTCACAGCAGCTCTGAATTCAGGAAGAGATTTTGACTTGATAGGGGCTCAAACAGGGGCATTTTGACTTGATAGGTTGCCGAAGAATCTTAGAAAAGAAAGCAGACAAAAATTTTGGGGTCTTCCAGGCCCCCACCCCTGTGTCTTTCTGTTGAGCTCAAGTATTTTGTATTCAACTCAACTTGACAAGTCCTTTGGCAGATACGAGATTCCCAGCAAAGTGAAGGCTCAGCAGCTAACTCAGCTTAGCGATTTTTTTTTTTTTTTGAGATGGAGTCTCGCTCTTTCGCTCAGGCTGCAGTGCAATGTCGTGATCTCAGCTCACTGCAGCCTCTGCCTCCCGGGTTCAAGCGATTCTCCTGCCTCAGCCTCCTGAGTAGCTGGGATTACAGGCATGAACCACTATGCTCAGCTAATTTTTGTATTTTTAGTAGAGACGGGGTTTTGCCATGTTGGCCAGGTTGGTCTCAAAACTCCTGACCTCAGGTGATCTGCCCGCCTCGGCCTCCCAAAGTGCTGGGATTACAGGCATGAGCCACCCTGGCCAGCTTAACTATTTTATGAGGGCCAATAACCCTAGAAAAGTGACCGACACTGTAGCATTAGAAAGCATCACCCCAGCCAGTCCCTAGCCCTTTTCGGTCCTGCCAAACTCCAGGTACTGATTTCCAAAGCACAGCCAATGTGAGCTGGAATTACCCATGCAGTTCTTGGGGTATGCATTAGTCTCGCAGGGCTGTGTAACAAATCGCCACAAACCAGGTGGCTGAAAGCAACAGAAATTTTTTCTGCAGCCGAGAAATTTGAAACCGAGGCATTGGCAGGGCCGTGTTCCCTCCGAAGGCTCTAGAGGAGCATCCTTCGTGCCTCTTCCAGAGCCCGGTGGCTGCTGCACCTTGGTGCTCCTTACCTGTAGCTGCATCACTCCAGTCTCTGCCCCCATCGTCATGTGGCCGCCTTCCTTCTGTGCGCGTCTGTGTCTCTAAGCCTTCTCCCTGTAAGGACACTGGTCATTGAATTTAGGGCCCACTCTAATCCAGTGCAAACTCATCTTAACTTATTTCCATCTGCAAAGACCGTATTTCCAAATAAAGTCACATTCGAAGGTACTGGGAGTTAGGACTTCAACATGTCTTTTTCAGGGGACATAATTCAACCCATATCAGGCATGAGGACAAAAGGGGAAGGAGCATCTTGGAAATTCAAGCCTCAGGGCATTGGCCAGTCCTGCAGGAAAGGCAGGCACCAGGACCGGAGGGGCTGGAACAAATGTCCCCTTCTCTGCCCCCTTGGATGGCAGAATGAACCTGGCCGGGTTCCCCTCCCCATCCTGGCTGCACATACCCACTCCTTTACCTGCTGTATGGTATGACTCTCAACTCCTCCACTAAACCAGGCCTTCTCTTAACTCAGGACACTTTCTCCATCTCTAACCCCACTCTTTCAACTCAAGCTCTTCCTCCCAGTCTCTGCTCAGACATCACCTCCTCCAGGAAGTCTTCCATGCTGGCCCTGGGGCTAGCTCCTCTGGGCTCCAGACAGAGTCCACAGTACCACGGATGGCCTTGATCTGATTATAGATCCACCCCACTGGAAGCTCCACAGTCCACCCGACTGGAAGCTCCTAAGCCATCACCCCCAGTCTCCCCACTGCCTGCCCAGCAACCAGTGTGGCTCTTGCCTGGAGAAGGTGCTCAGGAAATGTTCCCCGAATGAGGCTAGCATAGGTGTTGATTGGGCCCTTTTCCTGGGCCAGGGCCAATGGGAGTCTCTTCTGCAGTAGGGAAGCAGGTGAAAGGGGCTGAAACAGATCACGTTTCGGGGGAGGGGGTGGGGGGGGGTCCTGGAAAATAGAAGGGATTTTTAATACTACTCATGGGGCTTTACTTAGGCAGGGGAGCCTTCCTGGGTGGCACTTCTTGTTCTTGTTTTTTTTTTTTTTTTTTTTTTTTTTGAGATGATGTCTTGCTCTGTTGTCCAGGCTGGAGTGCTGTGGCATGATCTCAGCTCATTGCAACCTCTGCCTACTGGGTTCAAACAATTCTCCTGCCCCAGCCTCCTAAGTAGCTGGGATTACAGGCACGCGCCACCACCCCCAGCTAAGTTTTGTATTTTTAGTAGAGACGAGGTTTCACCATGTTGGCTGGGCTGGTCTTGAACTCCTAACCTCGTGATCTGCCCGCCTCGGCCTCCAAAAGTGCTGGGATTACAGGTGTGAGCCACTGCGCCCAGCTGCCTGGGTGGGACTTCTCATAGGGTGGACACTGGTGCTTCTCTGGGTGACGGAGAGAGGAGGAGGCCTTTTGGGAGAAGCCTGCACACACTTTCCTTAAAGAACGTTTTCCTCAGGGTTAGGATGCTTTTTCCTGGAGGGAACAGGGAGGAGTGGGTTCGTCTTAGCCACAGGCCCCCATCAACAGCCTGCAGGCTTCCTTCCCTTCCCTGCCATGGCCTCTCCACTCACCTCCCCTAAGAGAAGAAGGTGCAGCTGCCCCCCTACCCCTCACCCCCAGCCCAGGGCGCAGCTTGGTGCCACCTCAAGAATTCAGAGAGGCAAGGGTGCTGGCCCTTTGGGGTCATCCAACCTGAGTTCCCAGGACAGAAGCCCAGCCAGCCCTGGCCTGCCCTCTACTCCAGCCCCCACTCACTCACGTGCTCAGCCATGTGCTCTTCAGTCTTCATTGAGCCCGTACTGTGTGCCAGGCCCTGACCGGGGTGCTGGGGTCCTTGTCCGCTTGGTGCTCACAGTCTAGTGAGAGAGTCAGGATGGGGCTCCAGGAGGAAGAAAAAACCATCCTGCTGTAAGAGTCAGTCATTTCCTGTAGGACTCTGAGGGCCTACTGTGCGCCACATGGGCATTCAACTCTCTCCCTGTCTCCATCCCTTAGCCCTACTATGTGCTATGTCCTGGGCTAGATGATGGAGATGCATAAAAGCTAAGAAACTTACGGCTGGAATTCAAACAGCTGTGGTTTCATTCATTCACGCTTTCATTAATTCAGGTCCCAGGTGATTTGGTGTGCCAGAGGCCATGCCAGGGGTTTGTGGGAGCACACACTTTTAGGCAGAGTCTGAGAAGCATCTCGCCTTCCACCAAAAATTACTGATACATTTTATATGGTAACTACCTTATATACATTCTCTCACCAACACTTTACAAAGTTGCCTAGTAGCTAAAGAGTCAGATTCCAGAGCCTGACTGCTTGAGTTTGAATCTTGGTTCTGCCACTTCTTGGCTGAGTGTGCTTGAGCAAGTTTACTCAACCTCTATGCGCCTCAGTTTTCCTCATCTGTAAAACAGGCATACTAATAGTCCCGCCCTTGTAGACCTGGCACAAAGATTGAATGAATGAATGTTTGTGAAGTGTGTGGAATGGTACCCAACACAGAAAAAGTGTTACATAAGACTTTGTTAAATAGATCAAACCATGGGAGGGAGTGAAGGTCACCCCTGCTTTAGAGATAAGGAAACTGAGGCCTGGAGAGGGAATTTGACTTGCATCAGTTTTTGCATTTTATATATTCATTTTTCAAATGAGAAATATCTCAATTTTATCACAAAATGACGTATGCACATTGTAAAACAGTCAAATGCTACGGAAGACTATGAAGCTGAAAGTGATGATCTGTGCATTCCTCATCTCCTTTTCTCTTGAGATTATGGTTGTTCACAAGGTGATGCTTCATCCCTCCAGCTTTAATTAAAATTGTCCATGTTTGGCTGGGCACAGTAGCTCACGCCTGTAATCCCAGCGCTTTGGGAGGCTGAGGTGGGAGGATCGCTAGAGCCTAGGAGTTTGCAACCAGCCTGGGCAATATAGTGAGGACTTGTCTCTACTAAAAATCAAAAACAATTAGCAGGGCATGGTGGCCCGTGTCTGTAGTCCCAGCTACTTGGGAGGCTGAGGTGGGAGATTGTTTGACCCTGGGAGTTTGAGGCTGCAGTGAGCCGAGATCGCACCACTGCACTCCAGCCTGGGCGACAGAGCTAGACCCTGTCTCAAAAAAAGAAAAATGTCCACGTTCACATATACATTTACAAACTGCTTTTCTTTCTTGATCAGCACATCACAGGTAATTTTCCATTCTCATACACATCTATCCCTTTCCTTCTCCAGGTGGACACCTTGCGTTCCAGTGTGTGAGACTCCACTGTAATCCACCCAGCAGCCCTCCCACTGGGCGGGCACAGCATACCCCACAGTCAGTTATCAAAAACCAGCTGTGACCTTGCAGGTAGCAACTCTGCTCACCTCCTCATCTCCCGACGCCATACCTGGCTGTGGTGGGGCGGGGGTGTGTGGGGTACACTGAACATCCCAGGGGGCGCTGGCTTCCTCACTCTTCTGGGGAGCGTTCTGCTTCCAGGATGAAATTTTCAGCCCCTTCACGCCTTGTGGCACGTCGTCTGTGTGCCTCGACTTTTCTTTAGACCTTTGCAGGTAGAGTTTTCAATCCACATTCTCTGATCTCTCTGTCTCCCTGCCCTCTCTCTCAGTCTCTCTTTTCTCCCTCTCCTCCTCTTCCTTCTTCTCTGTCTTGCTGTCTCCTCTGTCTTTTTTGTTTTCTTCCTCCTCCTCCTCTTCTTTCTCTTCTTCTCTGTCTCTCTCTTGCCTCCTCCTCTTCCTCTTCCTCCTCCTCCTTCTTCTCCCTCCTCCTCCTTCTTCTTCTCCTTCTTCCTCTTCTCTCTCTTATACACACACACACACACACACACACACACACACACACACACACACACACACACACACACACACACACCCTTCTCTTCCAAAATCAACCCTGAGTTGCCATCTCAGCTTGGGGAACAACCTTCATGAGCGGCCCTGCCTGGAGAAGCCGTGAGTCCCTGCCTCCTCCCTGCGGCCTCCTGTGGATCCTTGGCTACCCAGTGGAGGACTCTCAGAACTAGTGATTGGGGCCAGTGGAGGACACTCAGAGGCAGTGATTGGGGCCAGAGTGCAGGAGAATGTCTTGGAGATGGAATTTCCAGGAGGTGTTTGAAGGGGGGCCAGCTCTGTGCAGATGGCCGGGCTGGGGAGGTGACCACCAGCGGCCTGCTGTGTCTGCCTGGTGTCTCTGTCCACCTTTTCCCTGCATGACATCAGAGCGAAGCAAGGAAGCCCTCTGCCAAGCACTAACGCATCTGATGTTTGCGTCATGTCAAGTGCAGGGCAGGTGGTGCTGTTTATTTTTCAAAAGGGGTAGGAAGGAGGTGAGAAGTGAGGAAGAAGGGAAGAGAGGGACAGAAGAGGAGAAGGAGAAGGGGGTGGGGAGAAAGGAGACAGAGGAGAGGAGAAGAAAGAGAGGAAACAAGGAGAATGAGGGGAAGAGGGTGAGGAAGAGGATGAGGGGGCTCTGAGAGGGAGGAGTAGAGAAGGAGGGAAGGAAGATGGCAGGGTAGGGGTTAGGAGAGGGCAGGACCGGCTGAGATGTTCTTTTGAGAAGCCCCCTCGCCAAGGACCATTCCTACTTGCCTTATATTATATTAGTGAGGATGTAATAAGTAAAGAAGAATTTAAAGACTATGGCAATAGCAAATATAAGGGGAAGCTACTACCCCTAGGGCTGCGATAGAGCCTCCACCAACAGGGCTGACATCCAGACCTTATTGGACAGGCATGGCCATGGTTCAGCAGATGCCAGAGAGGTGCTGTGATGCTGTACTGGTGGAACTTGCTGGAAATCCACCCCCAGGGTGCTGGGAAAAGCTGTTACTGGGAGGTGTCTTACTGGAGGCACTCTGCTACAAAACTGCTGGAAGGTGGGTGGGTGAAGGGGATTGCTGGGGGAGGCTGCTGGATGCAACCTGCTGCCATGCGCTGCCGGAGCCAGGGCTGGGGAAGCCTCCTGAGCTACAGGAACGGGGCATTACGGGAGCCCTAAAGAAACCTAGTGAGCTGCCATCAGCTGCAGAAAGCAAAACCCTTTCATCCCGCAATGTCTCTCCAACGCCATCTATTGGCAAACTTAATATTGTACCATCTGGTAAAGGGAAAAATACTTAAAGGGCCCAGATTCCTTTTTACACAGAAGGCAAGAAGGATGAATTTGGGATCATGAGGCAATATGTTGATAATGTCCCTTCCTTTGACTACTCAGCTTTCATATGCACTCCGCTGCACACATTTTTATTTTACAGACAACAATAAAACAACTTTATGTTTCTACATAACAAGATAGGGCTATGCTTCCCGCAAGTTAAGTTCTCATCTTTTTCTCCAAAATGAGGAGATACACAGTCCTAGGAGTCATTGTAGCTGTCACTGAGTATATAAACCATTCCTGAAATTTAGTCCCAATCCCACTGATATCCTGTTTAGCCTAAAGGCTAAATTGTAAAGTTAACTTCTAAACACTTATCTGTAAAATAAAAATGAGAAGAAAGGAAAAGAAGGAAATGGTTGATGTATACAGACAAACACGTGCATACCACAAGCAGGTAGAAAATATGCAACATTACATTTTCATTCCTGTAATCATGGTCATGAGGTCGTAATTGATATCTACGGCATCTTTCTCCTGCTACTCATCTGTATTCACTCCACTCTCAGTCAGAATGTGAACTGGTTGGGGTTCTTTACTTGGTGGAGTGACCAAAACCTTTGTTTCTGAAGGATCTGAGTTCTTAACCATCCTGACATGTTTTGCTTGCTGCAGTTTCCCCTAAACCTTTACTATTTGGCATGGAAGTACTAAGAGGCATCCAGAGAATTCCCCAGTTCTAGACGTAGTCCTCCTTGCTTCTGCTGTGTTGAAGCAACTTGTATTAGTTTGTTCTCACGTAGCTAGAAAGAACTATCTGAGACTGGGTAATTTATAATGAGAAGAGGTTTAATTGACTCACAGTTCTGCAGGCTGTACAGGAAGCATGGCTGGGGAGACCTCAGGAAACTTACAATCATGGCGGAAGGTGAAGAGGAAGGACGCACACATTACATAGCCAGAGAAGGAGAAATAATGAAGGGGGAGGTGCTACACATTTTTTTGTTTTTTTGAGACAGAGTCTTGCTCTGTCACCCAGGCTGGAGTGCAGTGGGGCGATCTTGCCTCACTGCAACCTCCGCCTCCCATGTTCAAGTGATTCTCCTGCCTCAGCCTCCCGAGTGGCTGGGACTACAGGTGCGTGTCACCACATCCAGCTATTTTTTTTTTTTTTTTTGTATTTTTAGTAGAGACTGGGTTTCACCATGTTGGCCAAGATGGTCTTGATCTCCTGACCTCGTGATCCATCTGCCTTGGCCTTCCAAAGTGCTGGGAGTACAGGCATGAGCCACTGCACCTGTCCGGTGCTACACATTTTTAAACAACAAGTGCTAGGGAGATGGTGCTAAACTATTAGAAACCACCCCCATGATCCAATCACCTCCCACCAGGCCCCACCTCCAACATTGAGGATTACAATTTAACATAAGATTTGGGTGGGGACACAGAGCCAAGCCATATCACAATGCAATTTCCCCTTGGTAATCAGCATCAATCACTCCAGCCAATAAATTAACTCCTCCCACTTTTTTCCTGTTGGTTCAGTGGCATAAGGAGTCTGAAATGTCCAGGTTATAGGCTCATCTTCAATCCATTAGAACCACTACTGTGTCACTGTGTTGGCTGGATTACAGGCCCAAGTTATAGGTCAGCTTGTACTGCAGCCTAAACTTATTGCAGAGCCTTTTCTGTCTCTATTCAAAACTAGCAGCCTTATGGGTAACTCTCTCAATAGGTCAAAACTGCACACTCAGATGCATTACATGTTGCCTCTAGGATCTAGAAAGGCTTACCAATCATCATGTCTCCTTTTTGGTTTTTGGTGGTGTGAAATGCAGCAACTTGTCTTTCACCTTGGAGGAGAAATTTTGACATTCTTCATAGCATTGAGCCCCCGGCACTTCACTGAGGAGGTGTGCTCCTGAATTTCTGTGGGATTTATTTTCCACCCTCTCATCTGCATATATTACCAGGGCATCTAAGTACCTGGCTACTCCATTGGTGCTCAGCAGAGCCAATCAGTGTAATATTTTCAGTGCAGTGAGCCAAGAGTTCAATACCTCTGTGAACTATATTCTGGCAGAAAATAGGAGAACTGGCATTGCCCTGAGGCAAAACTGTGAAGGTATACTGTTGGGCTTGCCAGAAACAAGCAGATTGGGGGATGAACCTTCAAGAACCACTGGTGCATTGGAATAAGCAGTGGCCTGGAAGATTCACGATATTTGGGTTCTAGTCCCTGGCTCTCCCTCTATGTCAGTATCTGGTTTGGGGCAAACCATATCACTTCTGAGTCTCAGTTTCTTCATCTATAAAATGAAGATGTTTTAGTCAATATTTTATTCATTTGCAAATACGTCTTTGCTAGGCATGGGGAATTCAGTGATGAACAAGAAACATACTGACTGTTTCCTTAACATACAAACTTAGTGTAGCACAAGAAACTCAATTTTAGCTTAGATAGACTAGGAGTTTTAAAGTATGAGCAAGTCATGGGGCTTTTGTATATTAAAAACAGCAGGGATCCCTGCACAAAGAACAAATATGCAAAATATTTACGATGAAATAGTTGAGACATACCAAAAGTTCAGAGAATAACACAATGATTATTCATGTGTCTCAGCTTAAGAGATAAGTTAAAAAGATCCACTTAAAATTCACTTTCAGGTCTTATTCTCTTCATCCATTCCTCCCTGTCTCTGGAGGTAGCCATTGTACTGTGTGTATTATTTGCATATCTATTTTTATATATATATTTTTTGAGATGGAGTCTTGCTCTATCGCCCAGGCTGGAGTGCAGTGGTGCAATCTTGGCTCACTGCAAGCCCCGCCTCCTGGGTTCACGCCATTCTCCTGCCTCAGCCTCCCGAGTAGCTGGGACTACAGGTGCCCACCACCATGCCCAGCTAATTTTTTATATTTTTAGTAGAGATTGGGTTTCACCGTGTTAGCCAGGATGGTCTCGATCTCCTGACCTCGTGATCCGCCCGCCTCGGCCTCCCAAAGTGCTGGTATTACGGGCATGAGCCACCATGCCTGGCCCTATTTTTGTATTTTTATTACATATTCTGCATCTGTAAGATTTATACACCAGTTGCAGTCATTTATACTTCATGTGAATAAGGTAGATATAGCTTCCTGCAACTTGATTTCTGCACACAAGACTATGTTTCTGAGGTATCCGTGTAGATATATGTGGCTTTGGTTCATTTACTTTACAGTTCCATGTAGCATTCTCCTGTTTCAAAACAACACAATATAGTCATCCATTCTCCTGTTGATCATTTGTGTTGCTTCTATATTCCAAGAGGACTGCAATCAATGTAGCAAGGTAGAAGTCTCTTCTACCTAACTTCTCTAGAAGTTTCTCCTAGAAACTTAAGAGTGGAATTGCTAAATCACAGAATGCTCATTTTCAATTTACACAGTCAAGTTTTAATGATATTCATAAGTCAAATGGCCAGAAGAATGAAATGTGTAGCATTTTGTCTGTAAGCTTTGTTAATTAAAGTGGATCAGAAATAGTAAGTCATAAAGATAACGATGGTGAAGATTTCAAGATGTGGATTAGAATTAGGACTGGCATGAAAATGTTGTGGAATGTATAATCCAAGACTCTCAGCATTTTATGTTGATTGTTCTTTGGGTCACAGTAAATGCCCATGTATAAATATCCATGTAGGGTGATCAACTGTCCCAGTTTGCTCAGAAGTTAAGGTTCTTCTGGGACATGGGACGTTCAATGCTAAAATCAGGAGAGCCCTAGGTTGCTATTTCTCTAGTTGATACCATCTGTTCTCTTGGCTTTTTGGTGTGGAACATGACTCTTCATGAGAAAAAACCACATTCTTATAGAATGAAGATGAGACATTCATTCTGAGATAAAGAAGAAATAGGCAATGTAATAGGCAATGTAAAAGGTGAAAAGAAAAATCAGTGGCTTCAACTAAAGTACTGTTTCCAGACACATGGGTCATACAAAATCGCCTGGGTAGCTTGTTAAAAACACATTTATAGGCTCCTCTGGACTTTTCTTCCTTGATCAGAGGTTCTCAATCTTCAGAGGGCATCAGAATCACCTGGAGGGAAGTTAAAACACAGGAAAGGACCTGTAATTCCCACGTGTTGAGGGAGGGAAGTGATTGGATCATGGGGGTGGTTCCCCCATGGTGTTCTCGTGATAGTGAGTGAGTTCTCACGAGAGCTGATAGTTTTAAAGTCTGGCACGTCCTCCTTCTTGCACTCACGTTCTTCTGCTGCCTTGTGAAGAGGGTGCCTGCTTCCCCTTCGCCTTCCACCATGATTGTAAGTTTCCTGAGGCCTCCCCAGCCAGGTGGAACTGTGAGTCTATTAAACCTCTTTCCTTTATAAATTACCCAGTCTTGGGTATTTCTTTATAGCAGTGCGAACACAGATTAATGCATAAAGCTGCTCAGGATGAATCCTACAGCTTACTGTGTCTCCTAAAAATTGCAAATCACCTCCATTTCCTCATTTTATCACAGCAGGTTGAAATAATTTGTTTAAACATCAACCTGCCCTTTGCTGTTCACGGGTGGCCTTTATCTTTGTAAGCGTATTCCAGCCCGAGACTGCAATACTGGAACAGGGTCTGTGCTTAGTAAACCTTCTTTGGTTTCATCAATCAGTGACTTGGGAGCTGGTTCCGGGCAAGTTCCAGCTGAGGCAGATGATGTAGAAGATGGTGGTGGGTCATGTGAGCTCCATCAGCCTGCCTTGGGTGGGTGTGTTTTGAGAATCCTCTTGCAAAAGTTCTGTCCTAGAACTTGGGTGAACCCCTATTACCAAGACAAGTCCTCTGAGCTTAACTTGCCCTGAAGATCCTGACATCTCTGTAGCGGTCTAGCTTGGTTTCCTGACTCAATCCCTCTGTGACTTAATTTTTTCCCTGTACAAAACTGGAGCTCAGTGGGGATAGGGATTCATTCCTCTAGCATGCTTTCAAAAGCTCAAATATCTCCTCTACTACCCTCCACTTATCTCAAATGTCCACCATTATGGATTCATTCCTTTGTGTTTGTCTTGGGGGGCTGGGATGTGGAGGATTGAAAGAGCTCCTGAGAAAGGAAGACTTCTCCAGTCTTCCTGGTCTGGTTAGATATTCTCACAAGATTAGGAGCACCTCAAGGAATATGTCTCATTGCCATTGTGCATTTTATACTTAGCACAGCCCTTGGCACATAAAAGCTGCTCAGGAAAAGTTTGTTGAATGAATAAATGATTCTCAGAAACCCACAGCAGATGTGTCTGGAGAGAATCCCTCTAGATCACCACCACAGTCTATAAAATAGGGCAGATCCCTTTCGTTCCAGGCCTGTTCCAACGTAACAGTGACAGCGTGGAAGGAAGGTCTCACCTGGTCTCTGCAAACTTCATACCATATCCCACTCTGCTCAAGTTTCCTGGTCAATTTCACTTCCTCCAAAGAGCGGGGCTCCTTCCTATCTCCAGGCCTTTGCACAGGCTGTTTCTGATGCTTGGATTAGTTCCACTCCCATCCCATGGAGAGTTTCTTAGCTTCTTTTAAGTTGGCTGGGATCTCCCCAACTAAAATTATTCTGTGTCTGAAAAAGAAATGATGCAACCTGCATTTTTTTCTTTGCTTAATTTCTCTGCCTGAAAGTCCCGGACACCTGGCGCGATACCTGCAGGGCGCATAGTGAGGGGCTGAGTGATGAATGGGCTGAATGGAAGCAGGTGGTGGGAGCGGAGGGTGTGTCCTTCCACGGACGGCCAGCAGGTGTCGCCACAGACCGGGAAGAGGCGAAGCGGCGCGGCTTCACCTGGCGGCGGCCCTACCTGGAGGCTGCCGCGCTCCGCCCGCCCAGCCCCGCGCGAAGCCGAGAGCCCGGGCGCTGGCGTGGTCCGGGCAATTGGGAAAGCAGTGCCCGGAGCCACGGGCAGGGGAGATGAAAGGCGGGCGGCGGGCGTGGGCGGTCAGCAGCACCAGGTGAGGCCAGGACCGCGCTGAGTCGGGGCCCCCGGGCCGCGGGGTTGGGGTGGGGACAGCCTCGCGCTGGGGCGCCTCTCCTCCCTTGTGCTTGGTCCCCACAAAACTCCCGAGATGATTTCCCGCGGGCCCAGAGTCACAGCGGCCTTCACTCATCACGCCGTGTATGCCCGGCGTTTGCTATTCCAGCCTCGCGGCCACTCGCTGAGGTCGGTGCTTTGCTTACCTCCGTTTTACAGACGCACCAATAGAGGATCAGAGAGGGGAGGTCACTTGCTCACGATCACACAACACCCAGTTAGCAAGTTGTAGAGTGGGGATTTGAACCTGGGTCGGCCTCCAGAGGCTAAGCTCTTATCCTGGGTGTCCCCCTGTTTGACCTTAAAGTTCTGACCTCCTGTAAGTCATGCCCTATTTTTACTGTAATTTCTATTTTTCTTTTCCATCCCTCCCTCCCTCCCTGCTTGCTTTGTTTTTTAAAATGTTGTGGTAAAAGACACATAGCATAGAGATTCCGATTTTCACCATCTCGTTTGTCTGAGACAGGGTCTTGCTCTGTTGCCCAGGCTGGACAGCAGTGGTGGATCTCAGCTCACTGCAGCCTCTGCCTCCCGGGTTCAACTGATTCTCCTGCCTCAGCTTCCAGAGTAGCTGAGACTACAGGTGCCCACCACCATGCCTGGCTAATTTTTGTATTTTTTGGTAGAGATGAGGTTTTGCCATGTTGGCCAGGTTGGTCTCGAACTCCTGACCTCAAGTGATCCGCCTGCCTTGGCCTCCCAAAGTGCTGGGATTACAGGTGTGAGCCACCGTGCCCGGCCCCATTTTCACCTTCTTAAAGCATACAGTTCAGCACATTCAGTGTTGTGCAACTATCACCACTATCTAGTTTCCCAACATTTTCATTTCCCCCAAAAGGAAACCCTGTACCCCATTCTCCTCTCCTCCCAGTCCCTGGCAACTGCTCATCTGCTTCCTCTCTCCATGGATTTGCCTATTCTGGATATTTAATTTAATTTATTTTTTGGCTCAATACCCTCATCCTGTCTCAGGCTATCCCCGTGGTATCACAAGAGGCCAGAAAGTGGGAATCCTCAGACCAGTGGTTCCCAAACTTTGTTTCACTTTTGGAATCACCTGGAGACCATTAAAAAAAAATGGCTGGGTGTGGTGGCAGCACCTGTAGTCCCAGCTACTCTGAGGTGGGAGGATCACTTGAATCCAGGAGGTCGAGGCTGCAGTGAACCGTGATTGCGCTGCTGCACTCCAGCCCGGGCCACAGAGTAAGACATTGTCTCAAACAAAACAAAGCAAAGCTGTGCTTGCCTTCCACCCATCGACATTCTGATTTAATTGGCCTGTGATCGGACCAGGACATCAAGACTTTTAGCAGGTCCTCAGGTATTTCTAATGCACGGCAGCATCTGCAGACCCTCATACCTCAGAGCCTTGCAGCTCTGAGACTTTGCATCCCTTTTACAGGTGGGTAAGCTGAGGCCCAGGGTGGGAGAGGACTTGCCCAGGTTCACACAGGATGTTTGTGGCTGAACTAAGATTGGCACATAGTATTTTTGTTTGCTTTGTATTAATATTATTTTTGATGGACAAATCGTAATTATATACATTTACAGGGAACACAGTATTCTTTTACCCCACTGATGCCCTCTTACCCTCTTCCTGCCTCTCTAGCTATTTAACCTCTTTGTGCCCATTTTTTTCCTCCTCTGTAAACTGAGGGTCTTAATGGTTCCTACTGGTAGGTTTATTGTGCTGATCAACTGAGATTATGTCTGCGAAGTGCTTAGCACCGTGCTTGGGTTATAGCAAATGATATTCATCGATTGTTTTGCA
Organism: Homo sapiens; assembly: GCF_000001405.40. NCBI lineage: Eukaryota > Metazoa > Chordata > Mammalia > Primates > Hominidae > Homo > Homo sapiens. The sequence continues at coordinate 115,915,307 of NC_000012.12, read as the reverse complement.
TGGGGTGGGCAGGGGGTAGAAGTGAATGGATGCCTGAAAGACCATGAGCTCATTGAGGAAAAGGACTGAGATTCTTCTCTCTGCATACTTGGCATTCAGTGTAGACCTTGCCATTTAACAGAAGTTTTTTCAATATGGAAAGAGGCTCTTGGTTGAGATCACACGCTCCTGTCTGCCTTTGCTCAGGCTGGGCCCCTTTCCTGGAATGCCCTTGCCTCTCCTTTCTCCCCCTACCCTCCCACTCTTCAAGGCCCAGGGCATTGGGACCCACTATATCAGGCCAGCCTGCAGCGACTGAGGATCCCACTCTTTATATAGTTGTGTGCGTGTGTGTGTGCACGTGTGTGTCCTGTTTCTATCACCTGACTCCATTGTTTTAGGAACCAGCCCATGTCTCCTGTACGTCTCTGTGTCAGGCATGAGGCTAGGCACACAGTCGGCATCTGCTAGGTACCACCTGAGGCCTTGATGACCTTCAGCTCCTGGGGAAGTTGAGGATGGGGATCCTCGGTGTCTCTAATATTCCCCCTTCCCCATAAGTGCATCCCAGGGAAGAAGATTGTTGTGGGCACCCCCGGCCACCCCACTCTGCTTGCTTGTAAAATCCCATTGTTGGGGAAAGGAGTCTCTATTCAACAAATGGCGCTGGGATTGCTGGCTGCCATGTGCAGAAGAGCAAAACTGGACCCCTACATTTCACCATATAAACCAACGCAAGGTGGATGAAATATTTAAATGTAAGACCTCAAACTATAAAAATCCTGGAAGAAAACCCAGGAAATACCCTTTTTGACATTGGCCTTGGCAAAGAATTTTTACCCATTCGCTGGCTGTGGGAACCCATATGACCCAGTTCTGGCCAATGGGAGTCAATGCCAGCTGCTCTGAGAAATTCTGGGAAATGTCCTTTCTCTCCTCTCCCCACTGCATTTAAGAGGCTGACAGTCGTGGCTGGAGCTGAGTCTGAGTTGAAGCCACCAGAATGGCAGTAACGTCAATCCCGAGCTCTGGCATTCTTGAGGTGCAGAAAGCCTTGGATGGCCCACTTCAGACTTATTATTCAGGAAAATCCAACCCCATGGCTGAAGGCACTCATGGTGAGGTGTCTGTCTGCAGCTGAACACTTCCTAACCGTTAGGACCATTCCCAACCTGCTCTTTCCCTATTTAAAGACAGAAGGAAGGGCAGACACTCAGGGTGAATTTCCTAATGTTCTTCTCATTGATCTTGGAGTAAAACCTCCAAGGAACTGGAGGTACCTAGTGATGTTACCCTCTAGGGTTTATTTTTATTTTATTTTATTTTTTGAGATGGAGTCTCGCTCTGTCACCCAGGCTGCATGGAATGCAGTGGCACGATCTCCGCTCACTGCAACCTCCACCTCCCGGGTTCAAGCGATTCTCTTGCTTCAGCCTCCCAAGTAGCTGGGATTACAGGTGCCTGCCGCCATGCCCAGCTAATTTTTGTATTTTTAGTAGAGATGGGGTTTCACCATGTTGGCCAGGCTAGTCTCGAACTCCTGACCTCAAGTGATCCTCCCACCTTGGCCTCCCAAAGTGCTGAGATTACAGGTGTGTGCCACCACACCTGGCCACCCTCTAGGTCTTATGTCCACAAGTAATAATAATACTGATAAAGGTTAACATCTTCAACACTTCCTCTGTGCCAGCACTTTGTGTGGATTATTTTATTTGATGCTCACTCCTTCCCATAACCATCCCATGGAAGCTGTTTGTATCCTCATTTTTACAGATGAGGAAGCTAAGACTCAGGGAATGTTTGTAATTTGGTGGTTGAGAGATTGTTTTTTGTTTCCTGCAGCAGACGGAGCCTCATTTCCATTATGAATCGGTCTCCCTCACATCTCAAACACCCTGGCTCATCTCTTCATCACCCTCATCCCCTGATGTGCTTTTCTTGCATGTGGTAGGTGCTCCATAGGTGTCTTTGAGAACTGTCACACCTACTGACAGGTCACCCCCTGTGATTCACCCTCTGCTTTCTTCTGTCACCAGCCATTCACCAGTAAGTGTATGCTGAACTCAAAGGTCTCTTTTAAATGTTCTGTGTGTGTGTGTGGTGGGGTGGAGGTGGAGAAATGGGCCTTATCCTTAGTAAAAATACCAGCTACTGTTTGTCAAGGGCTTGCTGAGGCCAGACACTGGGCTTTACATCCTTTTGTTTGCTGTTGTTTAATGCCTGCAATAGCTCTGGGAAGTCTTTCAAGAAATCAAGGCTCTGTGAGGACATATGATTTGTTCAGAGTCACCCAGAGTGGATTTGGACTGAGGCATATGCAGCTAGAGCCTGTGTCTTAACCTGGAGCAGAGGACGTAGCCATGCACACAGTCAGCATGTCCCTAACCAGAGGGGAAGCTCCTTCCTCTTTAAGGGAAACTTCCCTGGGGTGGAGATACCTGAGTTGAGTCTTGAAGGATGGGCAGGACTCCCATACGTGGGGAAGGGAAGAGAAGTTTTCACAAGAGAAAGGAAGGAAGGAAGGGCTTGGGCAAATGCATGGAGATGAGATAGTGTGTAGCTTTTTGGGGACTGGGGATTATAACTAGAAACCAGAGCAGCTGGTCCCAATGTACTGCTTACTTGTAAGAGTTACTGATTAGAAAGCTGGCACCATGGACTGAATTGCACCCACCCCTAGTTCATAGGTTGAGTATGTTGGACTTTACCCTTAATGTGGTGGCTTTAGAGATGGAGCTTTTGGGAGGTGATTAGGGTTAGATGAACTCATGAGAGTAGGGGATTTTAAGAACAGGAAGAGATCTCTCTCTGCATATGCACTGAAAATAGGCCACAAGAAGACGGCCATCTGCAAGCCAGGAAGAGAGCCCTCACCAGAGACTGACCCTGCAGACACCTTGATCTTGGACTTCCAGCCTCCAGAACTGTGAGAAAATAAATGTCTGTAGTTTAAGCCACTTGGTGTATGGTACTTTGTTAATGGCTGCCTGAGTAGACTTAGGTGACTTCTGTCTTGTGATGTCATAGGCTTCTGAAGGCACTGCCTAGATGGATGCCAATTCTTCTGGCTCCTTTTAAACGCAAAACCCATCCCACAGCAGCACAGCTGCTTAGATGAAGCTGATGGCCTCTTTGGAGAGTGGAGGTGGGCAGGACAGCTGTTAATTCTGGGGGACTGATTTCCCTCAATGAGAATTTATTGAGCACTTACTATGTGTTAGGCACAGAGCTTGCCTTTGCAGAACTCATAATCTGGTAGCAGGGGAGCCATGAAAATGATTCCTCATGTCAATATCATCATATGTGATGCCACTTAGCAAGCACCTGCTCTGGGCAATGGTGCTGTGTGCTTTGCAAACCTGTATCTCATTGAATCCTTCTGGCAGCCTTACAGGTAGAGGGTTCAGAGGACTCTTGACTTGCTCAAGATTCTGCCACTAGTAAGTGACGGAGATGCTGGGACCTCATTCTGGGACTTTTGGGCCTAATGTTCACATTTTTTTAGGTTCTCTTGTTCTGCCTTAATATCATATAGGCAGGGAAGTGGGATTCCAAAGAGAAAATTTGCCTACATTCTGGACAGTAAAAAGAAATGTCTGTGAGAAGGAAATTGATGAACAGATGATTACTATTTTAATTGCAGTGATGGCTAACATGGATTCAGTACCAGCGAGGCCCATGCTAACCATGTCACACATCCTATTTAGTCCTCACATGCCCTTTGACACAGTCACTAGTATCAGCCCCACTTTACAGATAAAGAAACTGAGGCCCACAGGGTTAAATATCTTGCCAAGGTCACAGGCTTACTGAGGAAGAACCAGGATGTGAACCCAAGGCTTTCTGGCTTCAGTCTGAAGTACTTTTACCTTCTCATGTAGTGGTGTGTTGGTAAGCTAGTTCTCTGGGGAGACAAACCCAAAACAAACAATTCTGAATTTTATGTGTGCTGATTTCCATGCTGTAATACCCTCACCATGACTGACTTCAGGGTACCAACAGTTCAGTAACCAATTCCCAAAACTCCTATTTAACCATCAGTCCCAGCACACTGCAAGATCACCTTTCAGTCCAGCCAAGCTGGTTATTACAATTGCAAGAGGACCCTACTCGTCTGCAAGATGTCTACAGCCCTGGTGGCTTATGGGATATCTGGGCATTTCTATTTATTTATTTTTATTTTTATTATTTTTTTGAGATGGAGTCTTGCTCTGTCACCCAGGCTGGAGTACGGTGGCGCGATCTCGGCTCACTGCAAGCTCCGCCTCCCGGGTTCATGCCATTCTTCTGCCTCAGCCTCCCGAGTAGCTGGGACTATAGGCGTCTGCCACCACGCCTGGCTAATTTTTTGTATTTTTATAGAGACGGGGTTTCATCATGTTAGCCAGGATGGTCTTGATCTCCTGACCTCATGATCCACCCACCTTGGCCTCCCAAAGTGCTGGGATTACAGGTGTGAGCCACCGCGCCTGGCATTTCTTTTTTCTTTTGTGAGACAGAGTGTTGCTGTCACCCAGGCTAGAGTGCAGTGGTGCAATCTTGGCTCACTGCAACTTTTGCCTACTGGGTCTAAGTGATTCTCCTGCTTCAGCCTCCAGAGTAGCTGGGACTACAGGCACGCACCACCAAGCCTGACTAATTTTTTTGTGTTTTTAGTAGAGATGGGGTTTCTCCATCTTGACCAGGCTGGTCTTGAACTCCTGACCTGAGGTGATCTGCCCAGCCTGGCCTCCCAAAGTGCTGGGATTACAGGCATGAGCCACCGCGCCTGGCCCTAGGCATTTCTTTTAGGAGTGCCATCTCATATGTTGCCCCTCTGAGACTTGATGGACCTTATCTGTGAGATGGATCTGGCCATCTTTTGCCCTTCCTCACCTGCAGCCCCTTGCTTTGCAGCTAAGGTCAGGCTGAGCACCACAGGATCCAGCAGGTGAAGGTGTTCCCTTGTGTGGGACACTGTGGAAAAAGAGCCTGGCTGGTTGCAGCTCTCTCTCTCTGCTCTTCACATCCCCTCTACCGTCAAAAGCTTTCACGGTGATTAGTTCTTCCCATGAAGGGATCTTGTTACAGTTCTACCAGGAAGGCCGCTCTAAATCTCCAACCTGAGATAAGAAGGCCGCCTCTTCTTTAATCTCTCAGCTTAGAGGCTACGTGTTAATATGTAAGAAAGGGTTTCCAGGCTTGGGGTGGGATAGGAGGAGAGGTAGTCAGAGCCTGGGTGAATTAGGTTTTGACTGCATACATTTATTAAAAGACCCTTCCCAGCTGCATGTGGTGGCTCACACCTGTAATCCCAGCACTTTGGGAGGTCGAGGCGGGCAGATCACTTGAGGCCAGAAGTTTAAGACCAGCCTGGCCCACATGGCAAGACCCTGCCTCCACTAAAAATACAAAAAAAAAAAAAAAAAAGTACTAGATGTGGCCCAAGTCTGTAATCCCAGTAATCCCAGCTACTCGGGAAGCTGAGGCAGGAGAATTGCTTGAGCCCGAGACATGGAGGTTGTAGTGAGCGGAGATGGTGCCACTGTACTCCTGCTTGGGTGACCGAGCGAGACTGTGTCAAACAAAACAAAACAAAACAAAACAAAACAAAACAAAACACCGTTCCTGCTCATCGAAGCCGTGGGGCCTGATGTCCCTCAGTCATTTCTTAGGGTGAGTTTCACTTGTGCTCGGACCATGGGGCCCTGACAAAGGGTCTGTGTTTCTGGAGAAACCCAGCTAGGCGTGGGGCTGTCTGCAGCACCAAGTCCAAAGACTGGCCAGTGCACATCCCCCTCCCAACCCCAAACACAAGGACAGTTTCAGGCCTGAGTCTTGGCCGTCTCACCTTCCATTGGCTACCATACTCCTGGCAGGACCCAGTGGGAGTAAACATGGGAGACAAGAACCAACACTAAGTGAGCACCTACCAAGTGTATGCCAGGTTCCAAGTGAGGAAGGCTGGTCGTCGGGCTGAGCTGGGCTTGACCCTTGTCTTTGCTCCTTAAGTGCTGTGTGTTCCTGGGTAAGTCATTTAACTACTCTGAGCTTCCGTTTTCTCCTTTGTCAAGTGGATGATGCGGTAGCTACTTCACATGGCTGTTTTGGGACCGTAATAGACCTTTAAAGGGGCAGGTGGTAGGTTAGAGATTGGTCTGGCTTTGTTTTGTTTTCAATAGATTAATCCAAGAAATATGTCTTCATTGTAACACTTGCTGGCTGGAACCTGTAGCCACTGTTTTGTCCTGGCCCCGCAGGGAGAGGGCAGGGGAGGTAACCAGAGATTTACAGGCTTGATTCCTGAATTCTTACAGCTTTTCCCAGAATAGTTAAGACTCAGTGAAAGATCAATGAGAGTGTTAATTCCAGTGGTTCCCACATTCGTCAGGGAAAGTGGGTTTTCAGACAATGATATGATGAAAGTCTTTGGCCAGAATAAATTGGATGGGATTTTCTTCAAGCTATACTGCCTTAGAGTCCTCCACAAACAACACTTCTCTCTTGACAGTTACATGCGATGTAATACAGCAAAATAAAAGTCACTTTTCTTGCATTTGGGAAAAAAAGGAAACTGTAACTGTACACTTCGTTTCTGATCCAGTGTAAAGCTGCCACCTCTCCTCTATGGGGAAGAATATCTTTTATTCTGATGTGGTGTCCTTCTTTCTTTCCCTCTGGGGATTGGCCAGTGCCTTCTCTCTCTTATGAAATGGTAGTGAATGGTGGTTTTATGTTTTTGAAATGTATTTTTGAATAGGCAAGACACACAGATGGCTTAAAGGATTCAAAGAGGATAACAGTTAAAAGTGAGTCTCCCTCCCTCTCTGGTTCCCCAGTCATCAGTAGCACCCCCTGAAGGAGGAGAATCGCTGTAGCCATTTCCTTGCAAATCATTCCTGACCTTGTCTAGCCCATGCGTGTACACTCTCATGAGGGGGGCTGGCCGTATCACCCCAACAGGGCAGAACTTGGTTCTTGGTGCAAGGGGGATATCTTAGATGCTATTTACATTTTATTTTACTTTTATTTATTTATTTATTTTTATTTTTATTTATTTATTTATTTTGAGACAGAGTTTCGCTCTTGTTGCCCAGGCTGGAGTGCAGTGGCACGATCTCGGCTCACTGCAACCTCCGCCTCCCGGGTTCAAGCGATTCTCCTGCCTCAGCCTCCGAGTAACTGGGATTACAGGCATGCACCACCATGCCTGGCTAATTTTTGTATTTTTTAGTAGAGATGGGGTTTCTCCATGTTGGTCAGGCTGGTCTCAAACTCCCGACCTCAGGTGATCTGCCCGCCTCGGCTTCCCAAAGTGCTGGGATTACAGGCATAAGCCACCACACCCAGCCTATTTATTTATTTTGAGATGGAGTCTCGTTCTGTTGTCCAGGCTGGAGTGCAGTGGCGTGATCTCTGCCCACTGCAGCCTCCACTTCCTGGGTTCAGGTGATTCTCCTGCTTCAGCCTCCTGAGTAGCTAGGGTTATAGGCACCCGCCACTACGCCTGGGTAATTTTTGTAATTTTAGTAGAGATGGGGGTTTCACCATGTTGGCCAGGTTGGTCTCGAACTCCTGACCTCAGGTGATCCACCCGCCTTGGCTTCCCAAAGTGCTGAGAATACAGGTGTGAGCCACTGTGCCTGGCCGCTATTCACATTTTATAATTGTTATATGCATAGTGCTGCTACCTGTTATGTTTTGGCTTTGCTTCAGTCTCACCTCGTCATTGGCCAGGTCCACCAGTTATACCATTGTTCCTATGGACAAGCGGGATCTACTTTATTTTTATTTTTTGATGGATGCTGTCATTTTTTAGGAGAACTTGGGTGTTTTTTTTTTTTGTTTGTTTCCATAGGTTTTTGGGGAACAGGTGGTATTTGGTTATATGAGTAGTTTCTTTGTGGTGATTTGTGAGATTTTCATGCACCCATCACCAGAGCAGTATACACTGAACCCAATTTGTAGTCTTATCCCTCACCCCCTTCCCACCCTTTCCTTCTGAGTCCCCAGAGTCCATTGTATCTTTCTTTTTTTTTGAGATGGAGTCTCACTCTGTCACCCAGGCTGGAGTGCAGTGGTGCCATCTCTGCTCAATGCAACCTCTGTCTCCTGAGTTCAAGTGGTTCTTGTGTCTCAGCCTGCCGAGTACCTGGGATTACAGGTGCATGCCACCATGCCCGCCTAATTTTTGTAATTTTAGTAGAGATGTGGTTTCACCATATTAGCCAGGCTGGTCTCGAACTCCTGACCTCAAGTGATCCACCTGCTCCCACCTCCCAAAGTGCTGGGATTACAGGTGTGAGCCACTGCGCCTGGCCCCGTTGTATCATTCTTTTTTTTTTTTTTTTTTGTTTTTGAGATGGAATCTCACTCTGTCATCCAGGCTGGAGTGCAATGGTGCCATCTCGGCTCACTGCAACCTCTGCCTCCTGGGTTCAAGCAAGCCTCCTTCTTCAGCCTCCCGAAGTAGCTGGGATTACAGGTGCCCACCGCCACACCCAGTTAATTTTTGTATTTTTAGTAGACAGGATTTCACCATGTTGGCCAGGCTAGTCTCGAACTCCTGACTTCAGATGATCCACCTGCCGCAGCCTCCCAAAGTGCTGGGATTACAGGTGTGAGTCACTGTGCTCGGCCCATTGTATCATTGTTATGCCTTTGCATCCTCATAGCTTAGCTCCCACTTATAAGTGAGAACATACAATGTTTAGTTTTTCATTCCTGAGTTACTTCACTTAGAATAAGTCTCCAATTCCATCCAGGTTGCTGTGAATGCCATTAATTCATTTCTTTTTATGGCTGAGTAGTATTCCATCATATATATGTATGCCACTCGGCACAGTGGTCCGGGATGTGAGCAAGGGAGGAGAAACCCATTTGACAGCACTGCTCCAATACTTTAGTACAATAGTTTCCAGACTTTGGTATCTTATACACCAGAGTAATTTTTTAAAAATTAGAGGGTTTAACAGAAGGTTGTCAACTTTGTTTGACAGAAACTAAAATACACACACACACACACATACACATACATATACACACACACCACAGTTTCTTTATCCACTTGTGGATTGGGCATTTGGGCTGGTTCCACATTTTTGCAATAAGCAGCATCTACTTTATAATAAGATGATCGCTTCTGTCTTCGATGCCATCTCTGTGGTCCTTACAATGAGTTGTTTTCTGCAGTGAGTGGGTGTTTGTCCCAGCCACCACATTCTCTCTCTGGTATCCTTAGGGCATTTTTTTGTGAGCAGGCTTCCCTGTAAGATCACACAGGGCCTCAGAATCCCACTCGGCATAGTGGTCCGGGATGTGGGCAAGGGAGGTGAAACCCGTTTGACAGCACTGCTACAATACTTGAGTACAATAGTTTCCAGACTTTGGTATCCTATACACCAGAGTAATTTTTAAAAAATTAGAGGGTCTAACATAAGGTTGTCAACTTTGTTTTGACAGAAACTAAAAAATAAAAAATCCTTGCCATGTAAAATCATCTGTTCATTTTTTTAAAAACACATTTGTTAACACCAAAAGACTTGGAAAGACATTTTCAGAATATAGGGTCATGAACATGTTTAGCTTTACTTAAAAACAAACTTTTTTTTGGCTGGGTATGGTGGTTCACCTCTGTAGTCCCAGCACCTTGTGATGCCAAGGTGGGTGGATTGCCTGAGCCCAGGAATTCGAGACCAGCCTGGGCAACATGGTGAAACCACTTCTCTACAAAAAATACAAAAATTAGCTGGGCATGGTGGCACGTGCCTGTAATCCAGCTATTCAGGGGGCTGAGGTGGGAGGATCGCTTGAGCCCAGGAGGTGGACGCTGCAGTGAATGTTGCATTTCACCCAGTGCGCTCCAGCCTGGGCCACAGATCAAGATCCTGTTTCAAAACAAAAAAACAAAAATCAAATTTCTTCCCCTCATTGTTCCCATTTTGCTCTGGACACACAAAAATCTTCACTGTGAAATGACAACAGCTGGTGGACCACAGTGGCCAAAGCAGTGATAGATGGTGATATGTAGTGTGTCCATCTTCCTCTCTCTACAAATCACTTTCCATCTTAGAGGTTTGTAAAGACTTGTTTGTATGGCTTCGTAAGTAATTCTATGAACAGTCAACATCATTACCTTGGTTAATTGAAAACTTACATATCTCAGATCCTACTGGAAGCTCACTAAAAATGACAGTAAATAAATCTTCAAGAGCACAAACCTATAAGTTCAAAGAAAATAGAAGACATTAGATTTCACAGACTGTGATTCTCATCTTGGGTGGCCTTTCTGTATCCCTCTCTTTGTCTTTTGGTTTATAGTTATTTTTAAGTGACATATAATAACTTTATGTTCATGGGGTACATAGTGATGTTTCCATACCTACAATATGTAGTGAACTGATCAGGTAATTAGCATATCCATCTCAAACATGTATTATTTCTTTGTTTTGGGAATATCAATATATTCCTTCTAGCTATTTGAAACGATTTCAGATGTTATTGCTAACTATGGTCATCCCGCAGTGCTGTACTCTCTAGCTCTCCTATTTCCTTGCTGCAATGTTGTGAGATGCCCTAAAGAGAAACCCCGGCTGGGAGAAACTGAGGGTGGCCTCTAGCTACTGAGCAACTGAGGTTCTGAATCAGGTAGCTCATGAGGAACTGAATCCTGCCAACAGCCATGTGTGCAAGGTTGGAAGTGGTTTCTTCCCCCGTTGATCTTTGAAACGAGACTGCATCCCAGCAGATATGTTAGATTACAGCCTGTGAGAGACCAGGAGTCAGAGGACTTGGATAAGCTGTGTCCAATCTCCTGACCTATAGAAACCATGAGTCAGAGTCAAGCAACTGTAAAATAGAAGGTGTTTAAGCCATCAGGTTTTGGGGAAATTTATTGTGTAGCAGCAGATAACTGATGCAGGAGGGATGGGTAAAAAAGTCAACCATGAGCAAACAGATTTGTACTCTTAGCTTTTCAGAGAAGCTCAAAATTTGGAGACACCAGATACTGCTGAGTTTGGGAATGAGAGATGGGCTGAAAATAGATGAAAAGATACGTAAGGGGAGCTGGGCTCTCAGATCCCCTTTCCAACACTGCAAATGCAGGGGACTGCTTTCCCTTTACTTTAGCTAAAATGTGGAGGTTTGTACCTTGAGGATGGGGAGAGACATGGAACTGACAACAGGAAGATCCAGTGAAAATCTGCATGGTGAACAGAAAGGCCCCTGTTCACTTCCCTCACTTGGCCTCCAACCAGTAGCCAGAGGTCCTCTCTGGGACGACTGAGCATCCCAGCTACAACACCCACAGAAAATGCTTTCTGGGTGTCCCTCGAGGAAGGAGCTAGCTTGCCACCTTATTGCCCTCCCACGAAGCCCACAAGTTGAAAGCTCCACCTAAACAGACGGAACCTTCAATCAGTTTTTAGTGCCTCATATAACAAATGACATGCAGAGGTCAAATCTAACAAATCAGAAGGAAAGTGGAACTCAGAGGATACATAGACAATTCAGAAGGTAGAAAAACGTTTCTATAAACATCAGAATTAGTATCTTTAAAATCATGAAACAAGAACTGGATGCCATAAAAAGAGCACTCAGAATAACTAAGCGCTCTCAAAAATACATACATGTATCAATACATCAAGAAGAAAACACTCAATAGAGGAATTGGAAGAGAAAGTTGAGAAAAAGTCCTAGAAGTAGAAGTTAAATATGAAGGGATAAAAAGTAAAAGTGAAACAATATTAATTAATCCAGGCAGTTCAACATCTGATTAAGTTCAGAAGAAGTCATATGAAAAAGGTACTTGACATGCATGTTTATAGCAGCACAATTCGCAATTGCAAAAATGTGGCACCAACCCAAATGCCCATCAATCAACGTGGATAAAGAAACTGTGGCATATATATAAATGGAATACTACTCAGCCATAAAAACAGAATGAATTAATGGCATTTGCAGCAATTTGGATGGAATTGGAGACTATTATTCTAAGTGAAGTAACTCAGGAATAGAAAACCAAACAGATGTTCTCACTCATAAGTGGGAGCTAAACTATGAGGCTGCAAAGGCATAAGAATGGCACAATGAACTTTGGGGACTTGGGGGAAAGGGCCGGAGGGGGTGAGGGATAAAAGACACTACAAATAGGGTTCAGTGTATAGTGGGGGTACAGAATCACCCAAATCACACAAATCACTAAAGAACTTATGTAATGAAATACCACCTGTTCCCCAAAAACCTATGGAAATTAAAAAAAATCCAGCAAGAAAAAGGAAAAAGAGTTGCAAGTTATAAAGAAATAATACAAGAAAATAAAAAAATAAAAACATTAATGTTGACTTTAAAGGATCTTTCTAGTACCTAGCATGATGAATGACAAAAGACCCACATCTAGGCATGTCATCAATAAATTTTAGAAATCTGTGTTTTAACAAGTTCTCCCAGCAATCTGTTCTAACAGGTCTTCCAGGTGATTCTGCCACATGCTTCAACTTGAGAACCATTGGTCAAAGCCAAGTCGGACCTGCCAGAAAGCAACCTTAATAGATACACTTTTCACCTGCACTTTTCTAAACTCGAGGGCTTTCTCTTTCCATTGTGGGTTCCTTTCATGCCCTCCACCACCCTCATAACACTTATCACAATGTATAATAATGGTTTTCTTCCCTCTACCCCTCCCTCAACTTTAGGTTCCTTGTTGACTCACTATGACATCTGCAGTCTAATCAATGACTTTAGTATCTACCAGGAGTGACCTATAGAATATGACTGTGACTCTGACATAGTGTAATAATATTTCACCAAATGTGGTCAGATACTCAGGATCATATTAGCGTATCTAATTTTTATTTCAATCAAATTATTTTAATGAGTATTCAAAAATATAGTCAGCACATCAAATTAAGATTTTAAGGATATTCTTTTTTTCTTAGTAATTTTTAAGTTTTAAATGAAAGCAAATTACTATGTAAATATACAGTGATTTGCAAGTATGTCAAAAATCCTGATGGTTGTATGTGGTCTACTGATGTTTAAGAAACATTGATATGAAGGATATTGGTCCTGTCCAGCCTTCCTGATGTCTTTAATGACTGGACACTGCTGGCTGCCATTATGTCTTCAGTAGATGCCCATGAAATCTTCAAATACCTCATGCTTTATTTTCAGGATCAATCCTATTCATTACCGACACACCTAGAAGTCCAAGACCCCAATGTCCCCATCACAGGATTCTCCTTCCCACCCACCTCCCCACATCCCGAATATGACTCCCTCTCCTACATCTTTCTGCACATGGGCCCCTCTACTGTGCCCTTTGGAGCATATGACCCATGATCTGCACACTTCTCTACACCCTAAATATCTTCTCTGGAACATCCCCTCAAATTCTTGCTCCAAATGAAAACTGGTTTCACTATAGCCTCTGTGTCAAGGCTGTGGTTTCCTCCCGACTCCCCAGGACTCAGCACCTGGAGATTAGGTAGGTGTCCTTCATGTTTCCCATGGATACTTGGAAATCCTCTTTACTCCGTCCTCCTCCAAAATCCCCAGCTAAGGGGATGGCTTGAGCCCGGGAGTTTGAGCCTGCAGTGAACTATGTTTGTACCACTGCACTCCAGACTGGGCGACAGAGCGAGACCCTATCTCTAAAAGGAAAAAAAAAAATCCTAGCTAATTTAAAGAGCTTTTGAATAGACTCCTGCCTGGGTTAGCATCTAGTTCTCTGGCTCCCTTTCCACCATCACTTTTACTATCATGCTCAGTGGCTTCAGCATGACATTGACGAACCACCCAACACCCTAATGTCTGTTCCTAGAACTTCTTGGCTCTAATGATGGCTGTATTGCTGCACCTCAACCACCCAAATATATTGCCAAAACTCAGAACTTGACTTCAATGCCACCTCCTCAGAGAGGCCTTTTTTGAACTCTACTCCCTGCAAGCTAGTTACTTTTCACAGTATCACCATGTTTCATCTTATTCCTAACACTAATTAGCACCCAAAAGTATCTCATTTAACTATTAACTTGCATGTCTGTTGTCTGTTGTCTTAGATCCAGTTCCCTGAAAACAGCCTGAAATGGGAATGTAATTCAAGTGATTTATTAAGGTGGTTCTTTCGGGGTCGGGGGAGCAGTGAGGGAGACAGGATAAGACAGGGAAAAAAGCCAAGCAAGAACAAGAATACAATCTCAAGGATAAGCAAATAGACCAATGGAGCAGAATCCAGAAATAGAATCATACTCACATAACTTTCAACAAATGCCCCAACACCATTGGAAAAGGAAAGCCTTTTCCGCCAGTGGCACTGGAATGACTCAACAAATATTTGAAAATAATTCTCCACACCTACCTTGTATTACACACAAAAATTAATTTGAGAAGGGCTGTATGCCTAAATATGAAAGCTAAATTACAAAAATTCTAGAAGAAAAACATTGGAGACTATCTAAGTCACCCTAGAGAAGGCAAAATATTTCTTAGGAAAGTCACAAAATTCACTGATCAAAAATGAGAATAGATGAATTGCACTTCATCAAAATTAAAAGTTCTTTTTCATTAAAGGACCCCAATAAGAATGAAAAGACGAGGCACAGTCTAGGAGAAATTACTCTTAACACATGTATCTGTCATGGAATTGTATCTAAAATATATTTAAAACCCTACACAAATTGATAAAAAGATAAATGGGAGAAAGACTTGGAGACACTTTAGAAGAAAAGATACATGAATGGTCTGTAAGCACGTGGAAAAGCACTCAATATTATTAACCATTAGGGAAATGCAAGTTGAAACCACAGTGAGATATCGTTTCACATTCACTAGAATGGGTAAAATTCAAAATCTAATAACACCAAGTGTTGACGAGGATGTCGAACAACTCTTAACTCTCACATTGTTGGTGTAAAATGGTACATCCGCTTTGGAAAACTGAACGTTTCTTGTAAGTTACACATCCACCTTATGACCTAGTCATTCCATTCCTACTTATCTACCAAGGAGAAATAAAAGTATATATTCACAAAAATCATGTGCAAGAATTTTGATAGCATAATGGCTATAAATTGGAATAAACCTGAATTTTCATCAGTGGAAGATAGGACAGCTGGGCACAATAGCTCATGCCTGTAATCCCAGCAGTTTGGAAGGCTGAGGCAGGAAGATTGCTTGAGCACAAAAGTTCGAGACCGGCCTGGGCAACATGGTGAAATCCCTGTCTATACACACACAAAAAAGTAGCCAGGTGTGGTGGTGTGTGCGCCTGTGGTTCCAGCTACTTGGAAGGCTGAGGCAGGAGAACTGCTTGAGCACTGGATGTCAAGACTGTAGTGAGCCATGATCATACCACTGCACTCCAGCCTGGGTGACAGAGCGGGACCCTGTCTCAGAAAAATAAATTGTTGAATATTTATACAATTGAATACTACTTAGCAATAGCAGATGACTTGCTTCTGGCAGTAAAATATGTATGATAAAAGATGAATTACTGATACACATAGCATATCTTAATCTCAAAGATATTACATTGGATAAAAGAAGATACATGCAAGAGTGTTCATATTGCATGATTCCATGTATATGAAGTTCAAGAATAAAGTAAATCTATGTTGATTAAAAATCGGAAAAAAAATGGCTATGAAAAAGGTTGGGATGTATTGGAAGTGGGCAGGAGATGGTGATAGAAATATTTTTGATGGGGGTGGTATTACTGGCAGATATTTGTCAAAACTCATGGAATTTTATATTTCTTATCTGTATTTTATATGCAAATTTTGTCAATTTAAGTAATACAAAGTATCCAAAAAAACGTGATAGGAGACAACTTCAGTCCGATCCCATGGGGAGCTCCAAAACATAAATCGCACCATGGAGCTGGTTCTCCTTTGAGGCGTGGGGGCTGGGCTTTTGTACTCCATGCCATTTATTTAGTCTCTCAGAAGGGGAGGGTAGGTTAGCCTTCTAGGAGAGGTGTCTCTGATTTGCCTGAGCATGACAACTATGAGTTATCAGCCAACAACAGTGCAGATGGGGGACAAGGGCACCTTCCAGTAAGGAGGGTCTCTGTGGGGCACCACCTGCATCTGCTGCAGTCCACCCATTTGCTTCTCACTTAAGTTCACTTTATCCAGGCATGGTTTCTCCAGGATTCTGGTTGGCCACAATTGTGGAAGAAGCTTACGTGAGAAAGGCATGAACTAGAGGCCCTACTGCTGCAGTTAGCCCAGGGTCATCACTTGTACTCATCATCTCCTTTCTCCAACAGTCATTCTAGACTCCTCTCTCCTTTTGCTGGTCTAAGTGGCTGACCTAGTGGCCCAGACCCTCATCTGAGAGGGGTCTGAGCCATGGTTGCATGTCCTGATCAGGCTGCATTGCCCATTTACAGTTACTTCTAGGCATGAGAATAGCAAGAGATGCTCAGTGAACCAGCTGAGCACCATACATGGACCTCTCTGGCTCCATCATGTGGCTGCAGGCTGGCTTCTTCATGATGATTATGATCAATTGCCTTCACCAGCATAGTGATTACTTTTTTTTTTTTTTTTTTTTTTTTTTTTTGCCTTCTGGCCAACTGACACGGGGGGCCAGCTACCATTTGAGTATAGTGGGATTATTACTTTGTCCTCTGGAGAAGCCTCTTCCCTCTGAGTACTAGAGCTGCTAGACCTACAGAACTCCAGATTACAGGGATGGAAAGCACAAATCCCCAAGCGAGTCCCTGCAGAGCCATGTAGGCAGGACACTGCTATGCCTGTCTTCCCACCATTAAAATGTCAGGTCATTGAGGCCAGCTGCTATCTGTCTTGCTCACTACTGCATCTTCAATGCCGAGAATGGTGCCCAGAACACATTAGCACAAATGATTATCAGCCAATATCCAGAAACTAGCTTGATGCTTTGTAGAATGTGTTTAAAAAATATCATACAAGTATTCTGTAAGACATTCCATCTATTTTATGATTACAGAGTTATACATGTTCATCATAAATAAGTTAAAATACAGAAAAAGCAGAAGAAAATAAAAATCACCTAGAGATAACCTGTGTTAACCGCTACTATACCATGAACTTAGTCTACACTGGTGGTGTCAAGCATGTTCCTGGAGCACTGCAGTTTCAGAGAAGATACTCTGGGAGTTCTCTGGAGAGGAAAGGGGAGAGTGTATCCCTCCCCCACTCCATAACAGGAATCCTTTTACAAGTTTTATTTAAATTTTGTTTGAAAGAAAGAGTTTGCAACAAAAACAAACAGTTGAAAACCACCAGTCTACACCGCGGAGCTGGCAGTTCTCATTCAGCTGACATCCCATTTCATATCACCATCAATAAATAGAGCAGATGGTCTGGGATCCACTATTGTGTGTGGCAGTTGCTGGCATGTGACCAGTCCTTGCTGTGGACTCCCTTTCTCCTAAGAACACTGCAGAATTAAGTGATAGACAAAAGGAGACTTTAACTGCAAAAAAACAGATGTGGCTGACTGGAAGAGACCAGCAGTGGTTGAAAACAGAACTATGAATGAGTCATGTTCAATCATCTCAGACAAGCATAAAAGTATATAAAAGATTAGTGCAGAAGAGAATTTATACCAGTCTCGGCACTGTCTGGGAACATGATTTAGATTAAAATAAGGAAAAAAAAAAAAACCCATTTCCAAGCCACCTGGAGTGCCGTCATCAGTAGGCTTTTAGGTTTTTGGATTTCAACATGTGTCACTGTAAATTCTTAGGCTATTTTTATTTTTGGAAAGCCACTTGGATGTCTAATAGAACAGTTAGACCTGGACAAGACTTTATGTGGTTCTGATTCAGGTGATATGTCAAGGAGATGTGACGATTCATATACCCACCTGGCCTCCAGAATCAGGGTTCAGGGGTGCACCCACCTGGTAGATTCAGGGTTCAGGCGTGCACCCACCTGGTCTCCAGACTCAGGGTTCAGGTGCACACCCACCTGGCCTCCAGACTCAGGGTTCAGGCGTGCACCCACCTGGCCTCCAGACTCAGGGTTCAGGTGTGCACCCACCTGGCCTCCAGACTCAGGGTTCAGGTGTGCATCTGCGGCTGAGACAGCACATTCATCCCATACCCCTTTGATTTGGTGCTCAGGCCAAAATATATGTCTTTATTCAACTGTGCTTGAGTTTATTGTTTTAAATGGGAAAGCTGGGTGAGATGCTGAGAAGGTAGAATGAAGGGCTAGTGGATTTGCCTGGTGTCTTTGTTTGTATGAAAATGCAATTTGATTATTTGAAGTCTCTAAGCAATTGCTGCTGCCCTTGGCTTCCTTTGGTTGTAATGAACACGGTTGACTTCACACCTAGCAACCTGGTTACCACACAGCTTGGCTTGGTGAAAGATGAACACAAATGCACTACATCCTTACCAACATTTGGTATTATCTGACTTTTTAATTTTAGCCCTTCTGGTGGGTAGATAGTAGCCACCAGAATTTGGTGGGTAGGAATTTGGTTTGAAGTGATATTTTCCTGGTAACCAATGATGTTGAGCATTCTTTTCCAGTGTTTACGGGCTGTTTAGAGAAACCCTTTTGCCACATGCCTGTTGACCCCAATGTCCATTAAAGTAGAATGAAAAATGGGATACCATGGTTCCATCATAGAATATTATACAGCAATGAAAAATGAATCAAATACAATTACTTGCAGTGACATGGATACATTTCACGCACACAACACACATATACACATTTTGTATATATTTTGAGGGAGAGAAGCAAGCTCAAAGAATATGTGCTCTATAGACATTATGGTCAAATGTATAAAATTCCAAAAGAAGCCAAACTAAATAAGGGTGTTAAAACTCAGGAGAGACAAAAGGTTACCTTTGGTTGGAGGTGGAATGGTGGAGTGTTTGGGGGTTGCAGTTGATGTTCTCTTTCTTGACCTGGGTGTTCGCTTTGTAATAATTTACTGATCTATATCTGTGTGACTTGTACATTTTTTCTGTATATGTGTTATACTTTACAATTTAAAAAGGGAGAGAGAGATGGCAGGAGAGAGCGAGAGAGAAAGACCCAGAATTGTCACCAAGGAGAGAGACCCCAGGGAGTGGGCCAGGCTGGATGGAGCTGGGAATTCACCCCATGACTGTCTTCTCTGGCCATCTCGCCATCTGCCCACTGATGTTTTGGGGACATATTTCACATTTTTTTTTCTCTCATGTTGTCCTAGGCTGGGTTTTCCAGGAAGCAGACAGACTCTGGGACAGAGTTTAGGTTGTAGGGTATTTATTGTGGAGTGCCATGGGGATCTATGCCTGTGGAAGTTCAGGGAAAGAAGAAGCAGGAATAGGCAGATGGGGAAGTCGAGTTGTGATGAGGGTTCAATGGCAGCCTCGGCCCAATGACCCCATGGGGAGCTCTGGAGCTGAAGTGGCTCCTTTGGGTTTGTCCCATGTGGGCTGGGAGGGCCAGGCCTCTATACTCCTACATGCATTGGTCGTTGGATGTGGGCCACTGTGTATTAAGCATGCCTTTTCATTCTCATATTTTCACACCTGGGACCCTTGCTGACTCTGGAGAGACTGCCTCTCCTAAAGCCAGTCAATTCCTTCATAGAGTAAATGAGTGGACTTCAAGTGCAGCTTTCATATGCAAACCAACCAGCCCAAAGCCCACAGGCCCCACCACCTCCTTTATTGGCTCTCACACTATGGGCCACTATCCACCTACCCTAATCACTACAGGGCCAGGTACCAGACAGCTAGGGACAGTGCTATGCCCCAGAACCTACTGAAGTTATTCTAATGAGCCAATTCCAAGCCTGCTTACCCTGCCTCACCTGTTTCTTCCTTCAGAAACCGCAATCAAGGATCTTGCCTACTTTTTCACCCATTCCCTCTGCCTCCTGAACATCCCTGGTGCTGCTCCCCTGTGGCCACTGCTGGCATGACAAGCTCCCACACTGGGGATCTGTGAGTAACAAAGTATCTTTTTAATACTCAATGGCCTCCTATCTTTTGACTTTGCCATACCTGAATAATAATAATAATGAGAACTATAAAGCCTACATTTAAAAACACACCCAAAGGGAGAGCATCAGGATAGTTAATGCATGCAGGGTTTAATACCTAGGTGATGGGTTGATGGGTGCAGCAAACCACCATGGCACACATTTACCTATGTAACAAACCTGCGTGTTCTGTATATGTATCCCAGAACTTAAAATTTTAAAAAGATAAAAAATGAAAACACACCCTGAGAAAGGGTATGGCTTTCTGCACCTTGAGCCATCCCTGGAGAGGCTGATAGCTGTATGCTGTCTGCTAACAGGGCATTCCTTGACGGGGATGGTCTGTGTCCATCACAGAGTCTTTACCTTAAGGTCTAAATAACCCTTCATTGCAGGGCTGGGATAGAGAGAGACAAGTGAATCACTGCATGCCCTGAGAGTGGGTGCCTTCTAAAATTTTGCTCCTTACATGCCTAACTTGCCTTGTCCTGGTCTCAGCCCTGCTTCCCTCTCTTTGCTCAGCAGCTAGGGTGATCCTGTGTCTCTCCTCTGTTCAAAACCCTCCCCTTGCTCCCTTCTCACTCAACATAAAAGCTAGAGACCTTCCTGTGCCCTCCAAGGTTCTACAGGATCTGGCTTCCATGACCTGTCTGTCCTTATCTCCTGCTGCCTCCCCCTTGCTCTGGTCCAACCACACTGGCCTTCTCACTATTTCTCCACAGGCATGTCCTACCCCAGGACACGTTCACTTCCTTTGCCCTCTACTGGCAATGTTCTTCCCCCACGTCTGCCCTTGGCTCATTCCTTTATGTCCTTCCATTCCAGTCTTTGCTTGGCCACCTGCTCTAAAATTCCAGTGCTTCTCCCATCCCTGGCACTTCCTATCCCGCTTCCCTGCTTTATATTTCTCTGTGTAATAATACAGTGCATTTGACTTGTTAATTCATTGAATGTCTATTCTCCCCACTTGAATGTAAGTTCCAGGGGGTAGAGTGGGGAAGAGGAGAATTTTTGTCTATTTCATTCATCGCTGAGTCCCCATAGCCCAAAACAGGGTCAAGTGCATAGTCTTAAAAAATCATCCACTGGATGACTGCAAAGGCATATGTTTTGCAGAAGGCGCTCAGGTTGGCTCCTCTGCAGCTGCCTTGGACCAACTCTGGTTCAACATCCAGGACGTGCAGTTTAAATAAAGATGCATTTTAATTTCGCCATCTCTGCCCACTCATATTCCTCTTTCATGTCTCTCCCTCCCCTCTTTCATATCCATTTTCTTTCTTTCTCCCACTCCTTCCCGCTTTTTGGTACTTGATGGAATCACATTAAACTAATAAACCTTTCATTACTTGATTGTACCCGTAATTACGCACACTGAGAGCTGGGTTCGTTTTGATTTTCTGCGGACTTTGGGTCGCTGATGCTTTTGAATACTTGTTTTTATTCCTCAGCTGCCACTTGACCTCCCCCTCGCCCCCGTTTTAAAAAGGATGAAAAGCCTAGAAAAACATCAGAAATATCCTTTTATTTTTCCCGCAATTTATTTGGAGGGTTTTGTTTTGATTTTCCTCTTAGAAACGGGGGGTGTTAAAAAAGAATCACATGTTGCTAAACTGGCCACCAGGTTGTAGATTCTGAGATGAGAAGGAGATAAAGTTTCCATTTACTGGGGGCCCTGAAAGAATTCACGTTAAAGGGTAAGTTTGGTGTAATCCCCTGAGCTGCCATTGAGGCTGGGGAAGGTTGAATTAGACCAGAGCCTCTCAACCTGGGCACTATTGACATTGGGCTGAAGACTTCCTTTAAAAAAAAAAACTGGGGGGAGACAAGGTCTCACTCTGTTACCCAGGCTGGAGTGCAGCAGCAGTGTGATCATGACGCACTGCAGCTTCCAAGTCCTGGGCTCAAGCACTTCTCCTGCCTCAGCCTCCCGAATAGCGGCATCACAGGAATGAGCCACTGCGCCAGGTGGGGCTGAATGATCCTTGTCGCGGGAGCTGTCCTGTACATTCTAGGATGTTTAGCAGCATCTCTGGCCTCCATTTCCTAGGTGCTAATAGCACCTGCCCTCATTTGGAACAATCAAGAATGTCCCTCAGGGGTACAATCACCCCCGGTTGAGAGCCACTGGATTAGATCAAAACTTGTGTGAGAGTCTTCATAGCAGCATTATTCATCATAGCTGCAAGGTGAGCGTAACCCAAATACCTGTCAACTGATGGTTGGGTCAACAAAGCGTTGTGTATCCATAGAGTGATATTATTCAGCCATAAAAATAAATGAAGTCCTGACCCATGCTACAACATGGATCACCCTTGAAAATATTATGCTAAATGCAAGAAGCCAGATGAGACAGGCTGTATATCATAGGATTCTATTTATATGAAATGTCCAGAACAGGTAAATCTATAGAGACAGAAAGCAGATTGGTGGTTGCCAGGGGCTGGGGGAGTGGGGGTGGAGGGGTGAGAAGCTCTGGAACTAGACAGTAGTGATGAGTGCACAACGTTGTGAATGCATTCAATGCCACCGAAATGCGCACTTTAAAATAGTTAAAATGCTAATTTTTATATGTATTTTACAATTAAAAAACCCCACAATTCACGTGAGCTGCTTTTGCTGTATGTACAAGAGTCATCCTCACACATCAGGACTCTCAAGGGTGAAAAAGATTTGGTCCTTTCTCTCCCCTTCTAGGGGAAGACGTCTCCTTCCATCCCCCACATTTTCCTTTCCCCCACTCCAGGGATAAGAATCACCAATTTGCATGAATCAGTTTCCAGTACATTGATGGGAGAAATCTTTCTTGGACATGGATATTTAAAGAGAATTACTTCAATCATCTTTTGTTATAACAGGATCACGTCTTTAACAACAACCATTTATTTGCTCACAATTTTGTGATTTGCACAGGGCTCAGCAGAGAACGTTCGTTTCTGTTCTGTGTGGTGTTGGCTGGGGCCACTCTTGTGGCTGCATTCAGCTGGAGGTGTGACTGAGGCTGGGATGTCCAAGGCCGCTTTCCTCACACATCTAATAGTTGGTTCTGGCTCTTGGCTGGGGCCTCAGTTCTTCATGTGGCCCCACTTCCTCCAGTGGTCTAGATCAGCTTCCTGACAGCATGGTGCCTGGGTTTCAATAGAAGTGGGAGCTGAAAATTTCTTAATACCCAGATTCTGGAATTTACTCAATGCCATTTCCACCATTTTCTATTAGTCAAAGCAAGTCACAAGGCAAGCCCAGATTCAAGCGGTGGGGTTATAGACTCTGTTTTGACAGAAGGAGCTTACAAACGACTGCAACTGTGATTTCCAGAGTCTTCCACAGGGATTAGGACATCAGTGGCTATGGTGTTTTTAGAAGAACCCAGACCCTGTGACCAGGGGTGGTGCTTAGACTTGGCTCTTAGAATTCTTTCTTTTCCTTCCTCTTTACACAGCTCTACACTCCTTTCTTTGGGTGCGGGGGGGGGGGGGAAGAATTCTCTGCTTTCTGCTTTTGTTTATCTTTGGCTCAACAAATACTTCTTGAGAACCAGCTTACATCAGTCACTGTTCTAAGACGCTGAGAATGCAACAGTGAGCAGGTCGGTTAGGGTCCCTGGCTTCAGAGCTTCTGTTTTTTAGCAGGGAGAGTCAAACCATTGACAAGTAAGCAAAAGATTTAGCAAGATAATTAGTGATAAAAGCTCTGCTGGAAATGGAACCAGCCACAGGGGAAGCTTGAGGCAAGCGGCCCTGGATAGAAGAACAAAGAGAGGGGGAGAGAGTGAAGGGGGTTAGATTAGGTGTCAGAGCAAAAGTTTGGATCTGGGCCTATAAATTGCCTAGGATTGGCTAAAATGCAGACTCTAATTCAGAGGGTCTAGGGGGAGGCCTGGGACTCTGCATTTCCAACAAATCCAGGTGATATTGATGCAGCTGGTCCCTGGACCTCATTTTCAGTAGCAAGAATCTGGATCGGGGTCAGCAAACCAGTGCTCCTCGGGTCAATCCAGCCTGCCACCTGTTTTTGAAAATAAAATTTTATTGGAACAACGCTCTGTTCATTCATTTATGAATTGTATTTGGCTGTTTTTGTGATGCAACAGCAGAGTTGAGTAGCTGCCACTGACACCGCGTGACCCACAGACCTGAAGACAGGTACTATCTGGCCCTTTACAGAAAACAGTTTGCCAATCCCTGGTCTAGATTACTAGGGTCTTGAAAGAGTTTGAATTTTTTTTCTAAATGTGATGGGAAGTCACTGGAAGGCTTGAGGCAGGGGATGACGTGGTCTAAATTAGATTTTAAGATGACCTCCCTGGCAGCTTTGTAGAAAATGAATGCAGGGGACCAACGTGAAAAGAAGGAGGCCATTTAGAAGCAGAGATTCTCCAGGAAATGTAGCCCAGCTACAGTCCCTTTATAGTGAATTCCACTCAAACCTCCTCTGTTTTATGTTTACCTCCCTTCCTCTCTAGAACATTCTACCTTTTAAGTTATGGAAACTTGAATAATTAGATCATTCTTGGCATATATATTATAATTTCCTTGCCTTGTATGCGATCATCTTCTTCTTATTTTTGATAGAGTCTCTGTTACTCAGGCTGGAGTCCAGTGGCTAAATCTTGGCTCACTGCAGCCTCAACCTCCTGGGTTCAAGTGAACCTCTCACCTCAGCCTCCCAAGTAGCTGGAACCACATATGTGCACCACCATGCCTGGATAATTTTTATTTTTATTTTTGTTTTTAGAGACACCATCTCCCTATGTTGCCCAGGCTGGTTTCAAACTCATGGCCTCAAGCAATCCTCCTGCCTCAGTCTCCCAAAGTGCTGAGATTACAAGTGTGAGCCACCATGCCTGGCCTTTTATTTTTGTTTCAAGGGTGATATACTTGTTAAATCTAAAAACAGAAAGTAAAGCATTAGTTAACAACCTTAGAGAAAGTTCAGGAAAAAGAACAAGGGGCCCAATTAGAAGGCTGTTGGGATGATCCAGATGGGAAAGGAGGGAAATGATGTGGGGTTGGCCCAGGAGGGGAGGGGCGTAAGAATCCTTGCCTTAGTGGCCTTGATTCTGGAACTTGGGTATAAGGAGTGAAACAAGTAGAAAAGGCTTTGAGTCTGCAATAGACTTAAGGCTATTGTAACCAAAGGTTCTTTCTAGGTGGCCCAGCCCTGTTAACTTGAGTTGAGCATGACAGGAGTCTATGACCACCTTCCACATGTCCATCCACGCATATCATTCCCTCAGGGACCTCATGTGGTCTGGGACAGGATTCCAATATTCCTGAATCCTCTGGCCATAATATCATCTGGTCATATTACATGTTAGTGTTATTTTAAAAATTATTTATTTTTTAATTGACAAAAATTGTATATATTTATGGTTTACAACACGATGTTTTGAAATGTGTATGCAGTGTAGAATGGCTAACTTGAGCAAATTAACATGTATATTACCTCACATACTTATTATTTTGTGCTGCAAACACAATCTGCTCTCTTAGTGATTTTCGGTAATACAATACGTTGTTAATTACAGTCACCATGTTGTGTAATAACAGATATCTTGAACTTACTCCTCCCAAATGAAATTTTGTACACTTTGAACAACATTGAGAGATGATATTAGTTATTATGTTATTACTAGTATTACATTAATAACCACATTATTTATTAAATTGTTAGTGTTACATTAGTAATTACATACATAACCCTTATTTTCAACATGCTTCCTATAAATTTTTAGGGCACATTCTGATGAGTACAATGACTTAGATAATGAAATGTTCTGGCTAAACCAGCAAATAAGGTGATGTCAGCTGGATTCAGAAGGTGGCACCATTATTTCTATTCTCCTGGGGCTAGAAGGTTCTTTTTTTTTTTTTTTTTTTTTGAGACAGAGTCTCTCTGTCACCCAGGCTGGAGTGCAGCAGTGTGATCACGGCTCACTGCAGCCTCAACCTCCTGGGCTCAAGTGATCTTTCCACTTCAGCCTCCTGAGTAGCTGGGACCACAGGCGTGTGCCCCAGCATGCCTGGCTAATTTTAAATATTTTTGTAGTGATGGGATTTCACTATGTTGCCAGAGCTGGTCTCGAACTCTTGGGCTCAAGTGATCTTCCCACCTTGGCCTTCCAAAGTGCTGGGATTACAGGTGTGAGCCATCATGACTGACCCTAGATTTTTTTTTTTGAGATGAAGTCTCGCTCTTGTCATCCAGGCTGAAGTGCAACGGCGCGATCTCAGCTCACTGCAACCTCCGCCTCTTGGGTCCAAGTGATTCTCCTGCCTCAGCCTCCTGAGTAGCTGGGATTATAGGTGCCCGCCACCATGCCTGGCTAATTTTTGTATTTTTAGTAGAGACAGGGTTTCACCATGTTGGCTAGGCTGGTCTCGAACTGCTGACCTCAGGTGATCCACCTGCCTTGGCCTCCCAAAGTGCTGGGATTACAGGCGTGAGCCACCGCACCCGGCCAACCCTAGAAGATTCTTTAAGAGACTCTATATTGTCCTTAGAGGATTTTAGAAATAGAAATAGCTATTCCATAGGCTTTGGTTAACCTTCTTTCCTCCTTTAAGAAGGGACATGCATGCGTTATCAGTAGGAGCGAATGAGACAAGCAGCTTTTGAAGGGCATGATGGAAATTTCTCAGAAATGACTATACAACTGAATGGCTTTCCTTCTGAGGGAAAAGCATGCAAATCATGAAAGTTCTGGAAAAGGGCCTTTGAGATTGTCAACTTCCAATTCCCTCAGGTAGACAGCTGAGGAGACTGGGGTCTCAAGAGGGGACAGGAGTTACCCAAGGACATACAGGGGGCCAGCTGCAGAGCCAGGACAGGAGCTTAGGTTTCTTCCGACTTCTTTGCTGGGACGTTCTCCCAGGGCCTGACAATGCCGAATGGCTTTCTCTGCAAGGAAGACTGCACACTTGCACACTGGTGCCCTTCAGATATGCTTTGGGTGGCCCCCACCGTGATGATTTTGCTTTGTTTTATTTTGGTGCTGCTCATTGAATTAGTTGCCTTCATTTAAAAAGGGGAAGATTCTACCTAAGAATCTGGATTTTTTTGGGGTTCTCTTGGAAAATTGGAGGAGCTGACAAACTAGGTTCTCAAATCTGCAGGGTTACAAGTGGGTGGAACTGAGCAGTGGTTTTTTTTTTTTTTTTTTCCTGAGACGGAGTCTCGCGCTGTTGCCCAGGCTGGAGTGCAGTGGCACGATCTCTGCTCACTTCTATCTCCGCCTCCCGGGTTCACACCATTCTCCTGCCTCAGCCTCCCGAGTAGCTGGGACTACAGGTGCCCACCACCATGCCCGGCTAACTTTTTTGTATTTTTAGTAGAGATGGGGTTTCACCGTGTTAGCAAGGATGGTCTTGATCTCCTGACCTTGTGATCTGCCTGTCTTGGTCTCCCAAAGATTACAGGCGTGAGCCACTGTGCCTGGCTGCTGAGCAGTGGCTTTAGATGGAACCTAGTCTCCTTTATTCTTTTTTTTTTTTTTTTTTTAGTCTCACTGTGTCACCCAGGCTGGAGTGCAATGGGGCAATCTCGGCTCACTGCAACTCTGCCTCCCGGGCCCAAGCATTTCTCCCGCCTTAGCCTCCCGAGTAGCTGGGATTAGAGGCACACACCACCATGCCCAGCTAATTTTTTTGGATTTTTAGTAGAGACAGGGTTTTGCTGTGTTGGCCAGGCTGGTATCAAACTCCTGACATCAGGTGATCCACCCACCTCAGCCTCCAAAAATGCTGGGATTACAGGCGTGAGCCACCACGCCCGGCCAGAACCTAGTCCCCTTTAGATGGGACCTGAGCTTTTCAGTAGCCACGGGGACACCCACCCCTTTCTCTCAGAATCTTTGCATATAGGGCCTGGGGAGTCTGCATTTTAATAAGCTCCCCTTGATGCTCACAGGTGCAGCAAACCACTATGGCACACGTTTACCTATGTAACAAACCTGCACATCCTGCACATGTACCCCAGAACCTAAGATAAATTTAAAATAAAAAGCTCCCTCATGACCCTGGCCCTCTCTACAGTTGAGAACCACTGTCCCACCCCTCACATGCTTGTTAGTTTCCTCAGTGTCATCCGGCTATAAGCCTTGGGTCCCATCCTAGATACAGCTTCAGGGTCTAGCAGATACACGCTGAAATTCTCACGCCATCACTTGCTAGTGAGGTGACCTTGGTTAGTTTTTCCTGCCTCGGGACTCCCTGTCTCTTTGAAATGGGGACATGGATGTGCCGGCTGTTCTCTCTGTGCCCCTCCCTGCCCCCCATAACAACTCTCCACCCTTCTCACCTAACTCTGTGCTTTGGGGAGCTGACCTGCACAGACTTGATCACCAGGTTCCCTCAGCCTCTGGCTTGCTTTTGGGATTGGCCGACGGACTCACTGGTGAGATTAGAGGGCAGAAGAGAAGCCTGGAATAGCCTATTTCCATAGCTCCTTCCTGCTGGATGTGGTTTTAGGTCACGCTCTCTTCCTCGCTGACCTCAGCTCCTGTTGGGGTGGCTCCTCTCCCATGGTCCAAGAACAATATTTTCTTTGGCCAAGAGTGGTAACAGCTCCCCACTTTTACTGGCCCTCAGGAATTTCAATATCTCTTGGTGGTTCCTTTAGCCCTGTCCACACCTGTGTTTATTAAACTCTCCTTAATTAAACCCTTTGAGTGTGCCAACTGTCTCCTGCTGGGACCCTGAATTATACAACAATATCCTAGAGGCTTCAGAGAGGTCATATACATGGCCTGGCACTTAGTGAATGTTCGATACACTTGTAGCTATTGCCCTCATTATTACTACTAATATTCTTGTCATTACTGTTATCCCAACGTAACTAGAATCATAGGCTCTTGTAGTCGGAAAGAACCAAGGAAATCATTTCCTGTCTGATGTTAGAAGAATAGCACCTGGCCTGTGTTGGTTGAGTGAATAGATGAATTTCTTCAGTTGGGGATGTCTCTCCTTTCATGCCTCCTGTTACATGGCACTCCTTAACGGACAAGGTAGCTTCCTGTGTTACGGGATGGCTTTGTTAATTCTACCAGGAAGCTCAGCAAACATAGGGCAGGTTATTGAGTGCTTTGCTGTCCTTGGCACCCAAGGCAAGAGACACAGGATTATGACCTGTGAATCAAAGACAAACGCTCACCAAAATAATCAACCCTCCCAGGAGCCTTGTACAGCCCAGGAGGAAGATGCGGATCCTTAACTCAGTCTGCAACCAGAATCTTGACAGTCCTGAAAATGGAAAAGCGTCTGGAGTTTTGGGTACTCCCAATGCCCCAATTATCCTTTTATTACCCTGATTTACAACATAACTTCATAGGAGACGTTCTGATGAGCAAAATGACTTGGGTAACAAAATGATCTGGCAAAACCAGCAACTAAGGTAAGGAAGACTGGATAAAGACAGATGTGTTGTTATTTCTCAAGGGACTATAAGATAATTTAAGAGGTTCTATACTGTCCTTAAAGATGTTTACTTTTTCACTCTTCATGAGATCTCTGCTACAGATGCTGAGCCTAGAGGGGAAGATAAATAAATAGATGCAGGCATAAGATAGACAACATTGTCGGCTCCTCTGCCAGCTCCCGTGGCCCCAGGTGCAAGAGTACAGCAGATCATCTTGCCTTTGGACCGCAATCAATGGACCAGGCAGGAAATGAGAGGAAATTAATTTACCCCCCTCTTCTTTTTCCCTTCCCTGCCATCCCTCCTGTTTTTGCACAAGGGCCTTTTAAAATGTTGGTTACTCTGATTACAGCGCAATACAGTTCGCAAGAGCCTCTTCTTGACTAAACTCTCTCTGCCCTTAACCAGAATGATTGGCCGGTTGCCTTGGTAATTGTCCTCATTCGCCGTGTAGAAGCCACAATTATGAAGGTTTTCTGGGTACTGATCCTCTTAGTGCCTTTTTCTTAGAAGTTCACGACAAGATGGGACAAAGGAGACCTAATAGATTTATTGCTCTGGCCCCTTGGAGTACTCAGGAGCTCATGACATACAGACATGAGCCGTGAGTGCCATTCAAATTGGTTGGCTTTGCCCGGAGAGAAAGCTTTATGCTCAAGAGAGTGGCTGAAGTCCTATTAGTTAGAGGGCCAGGGACAGAGAATAAACCTGCAGGCCCGGTTTTTCTACCTTGGCTCATAATGGAAACCCTAGATGGGCCAGGCCAGGTGGCATCTGGGGCCGAGAGCCAGGGCACTTTATCTTTCACTGATAATTGAAGGAAATGGACATGTAACTGCTCTCTCGAAACTCCAGCATGATTCAAGTTCAAGGCAGGAGAGCTCCGTGGGTTGTTGAAAAACCCAAGCTGGAAATGTTCTGGGCAGAGATGGCTCTTCAACCTCTAAAGAGAAGCAGGACTCCATTAGCTGCGGGTAATTGCAAAGAAGAAAAAAGGGAAAGATGATGATTATGATGATGTTGATAATCATTATCACAATAATCATAGAATTTATCTGTAAAGGGTACAAGATGCTCACATTCATGAACTTTGCTGGTTCTCACAAAAGCCTGGGGGTTGTTAGCCCTTTTTCACAGATGAGAAAATTGAGGTGCAGGAATGTAGGACAACGTGTTCAGGTTGGAAGGTGGCAGAGCTGGTATTCAAACACACACACACACACACACACACACACCCCTTCCTACCTCATAGCACCTTCTTTCTCTAAAATAAAATCAATATTAAGTTTTGGTAGGGATAAATTATCAAAGAGATCTTTGAGCTGTAGTTTGAAGACTATCTACTTAGTTGTTCCAAGAGCTGAAATGCCTTCATTAGAAGGGCTTTGAATCTTAATGTGTCTCCAACTGGAACAGAAAAATCTCTGGTAGGGGTCACATCCGGCTGTTTCATCCAGAAGAACAACTTTGTTTGGTAGGTAGTAGCTGCGTTGAGAAGGGTTCTGAGGCTGTGTTTGGATTTACTGAGAAAGGATGCCATATTCGTTAGTAACGTTTGCCATCAAGGAGCAATGGAAGTCATGTGTTGGTCTCCTCTGCAGGCTTCTCAGCCGATTCCCTACTTTAGTTCCCAAGATTGCTTTTCTGTTATTATCTTTAGCTATTATTTTTGATTTTTCAACTATTATTTGAAAACCCAGAACTGTAATACAAGGTGGCTCTCACATTCATGTCACAATTTGCAAGTCTTTTTATATATAATTTTGTTGCATATGATATGGCTTTTTATATCTATGTTTTTCCATGTATTTCCTAAGAGTACAGATAGCCTCTAATGTAAGCACATCGTGGTTATCTACTGCAGATAACTTAACATTGATGCAATACTTTCATCTACCATTTATAGTTCAGCTTTGCAAATGGACCCAGCATTCCTCTAGGATCCAGTCCAGCATCAGGTATTGCATTTAGCTGTCATGTCTTTTTAGATTCCTTTATGACATGAGCAAATTTGACATTCCCACAATTTTGAGGTGTCCTGGCAGAGAGGCTTAAAATATCCATTTATTTATTTGATATTTTTTGGGGAGCCCAATACATGTACTGTGCTAGATGCTGGGCCTTATACCAAGATAAATTTGGCAATTCTTGCCCTAAGATAACATCAGAGCAATGAAAGCTAACATTCATTGAGTAATTGTTATGTGCCGACCACTGTAGAAAGCACTTTACACATATTATCTCATTTAATCCTACGGTCCTACAAAGTATGGGCAGTATGATCATTCTCACTGAGGTTGAGAGATGTTAAGTAGCTTGCCTAAGGTCACACAGGCTGTACAGAGAGACCAGATTTGGCCAGGCTGTAGAAATCACACTTTCAACCACTGTATTATTCTATCTTGGAGAAATATTAATAAATTCAACAGCATATTAGAGATTGGGTAAATAGCATATACATGATTCGTTCATTGATTCACTGATTTGTTCATTAATTAATGGATTTATTCATTTATTTGTTCCATTAACTGATTCACTGATTAATTCATTCAATTATGTATTAATTGATCCATCTGTCCATCCATATATCCATTTGTCCATCCATTCATTTATTCATGTCTTGTGGACAAGACACTATCTTGGGTGCTGGGATACAATGGCAAAATACAACAGATGTAGTCTCTGACTTCATGAAGCATACTGTTTCATGGGGGAAGACAGGCAATAAATAAAGTATAATTAGTGTTATGCAAGTAACAGTATAGGGAGTAGGAAAATCTAACCTCATCCAGAGGGTCAGGCAAGGCCCCCTTGACAAAGTGCCATTTAAAGGCTGTGTGGGAGTTAGATTAAGGAGGGGAGGGATTGCTTCTGTCTAGGAGAAAGCAAAGAGCTTCCTGGAGGAGGCTGCAGAGGAGCTGAGGTTTAAAGTGTGGATGAAGTGTTAAGATTCAGAGATGAGTGAAGGGTTTCCAAGGTGGAAGTAACAGCATAGAAAAGGTAGCAAACTTGTAGGAATGCATTATAGGAAGTCCCAACCATATAGTCATTTCTCCCAGGTGCATAGACTTTACTAGTGGTCATCCATATCGCAGGGACTGTTCATTGAGAGGCTGTGGTGGACTAATCTTTAGTGCCAGTAAAATACATTGAGCATCTAAATCTTTTGTTTTCATGAGTTGGCCTCTCAAATGGGTACCATTTTGGGTACAGAACCTATTCAGCTCTGTATTGACCCATGCACCTCTTGAGTTCAGGGATAATTAATTCTAAAATCTTATTGCACAAAAATATATTGAGTGTCTCCTAGGTGCCAGCAATTATTCTAGCTGCTCAGGTTACAGTAGTAAACAAAACAGAAAAAAAAAATCCATGCTCTCATGGGGCTTGTATTCTACAAAGTTATTTTGTAATTTTAATTGCAAATTTATTTGGAATTTACACATAAAGGGCATTTTAGGGGTTGAAGTTGCCTTTGGTTTGAGTACAGTTGTCCCGAAGAAGTGGTAAAATCTTCCCACTTGCCATGCAGGAGACCTAGAATAAATCCCTCCTCTAAGCCTTAGTTTCCTCACTTGTCAAAGGAGTGGGCTCACTTAGACCTTTAAGGCCTTCCCAACCTGAAATTCTTGGATTCTATGAGCCAGAGGAGCAGACACACACCAGGAACCGCAGGCGCCTGTGTCTGGGCGAACCTGGACGTTTACTGCTTTTGTTCCCTGTTTTCATGAGGGGCTCCGGGGGGCGCTTCCTTGACAGTTCACCCTTCCAAGGCTAATCAGAATTCTCTCTGTCTGCTTTGGTTTTCTGCACTTTGACTTGCATCATAAATTATTCTTTCTCTAAATGGCAGGCGTAGGTAAGTTACCAAAAGGTCATTCAGAACCCCGATCAATCCCAGCTGCTTTAATTACTTTAGTGCTGTTTGGACTTCTGTGTGTGTGTTGCTGTATCAACCCAGAGAAGGAGCTCAAGAACTGTTTTCTGCAAAGGTGATTGAATTTCCTTTAAGGAAAGTTAATTGTGTTGGCTTCTGTGCGTGTTGGGAGAACACCCATCTGAATAGACCTAGTATAGATATTAGTAAAAGAAGATAATGTATTTGTGGAGGCATCACTGGTGTTTGGCAGCCTGATGCAAATTTTGGAGACTAAATAAAGGATGGAACCAATGCAGAACTAAGATTAAAACCATCTAAAAAGCATCTGCTTGTTAAAGTAGGACGGTTTTTTATCCCCCGTCACAGGGCTTTGTCTCAAAGTTCCCAAGGAGGTTCTAGACGTGGTATTTCATCTTTAGTAAGAATTCAGAGGCAAAACTACACTACGAAGATGAACACAATTCAGCTTCGGCTCAGTTTGTTTCTGTGTTTGATGTCTCTGGGCTGCCTTGTGGGTGCAGAGAAAAACATTTCTACAGCTAATGTCTTGGACGAAAGGCTCAAGTCTTAAGAGGCTTTGGGAAAGGCTGGCCTTATGGTACTTGTTTTGTTGTTGTTATTTTTATTTTTTATTTTTGCTGGTGAAGAAGGGATTCTCTCCCTTACTCTGTTGGTTCAATCCCTTCCGTATGATGAATTGTATAATATAATAATAAAATAACAATTTATAATCACAGTATAGCAAACATAATTCAAGCTAACTTTTCAGCACATTTACATGCATTTTTCTAAGTACTTTGCATTTCTCGTCTCATTTAGTTCTCACAAATATTATTATCCCTACATTAGATATGAGAAAGAAATTGAGGGACAGGAAGGTTACATCATATGCCCAAGGTCACCCAGCTTGCAAGGGGTGGAGCCATTTGTCTTATTCTATTAAGGCTGTTATAACAAAATACTATAAACTGAGTGGCTTATAAACAGCAAACATTTATTTCTCACAGTTCTAGAGGCTGGGAAGTCCAAGATCAAGGCACCAATAGATTTGGTGCCTGCTCCCTTGTTCATGGCTGCCACCTCTTGTTGTCTTCTCATGGTAGAAGGGCCAAGGCAGCTCTCTGGGGCCTCTTTTACAAAGGCACTAATCTCATTCGTGAGGGTTCCACCTTCATGACCTAATCATGTTCCAAAGTCCTCACCTCCTAATACCATCACTTTAGGGGTTAATATTTCAACACATGAATTTTGGGGGGATAAAAACATTCAGACCATGGCATCATGGTTGAAATCTCCGCAGTCTGGATCAGACATGAGTAATTGCTGACTTTTATCATGGTTTGCTGAGTTCCAGAAATGGTGCTGAGCTCTTTAACAGTCCTTACAGCAGCACTGTGAAGCTGGTGCCATTATTTTTCTGAATTTGCATGTAAGGAGACTGAGGCTCAGAGAAGTGAGGTGACTTAGGAAAGGACACACAGCTGGGATTTCGCCACCCTTCCATCTGAATCCAGATCAGGGATTGGCAAACCTATGGCCCAGGGGCCAAACCTGGCCTATTGTCTGTTTTTTGTAAATGAAGTTTTATTGGAACGCAACCATGCCCATGACTGCGTTTTGCCACAGTGACACAGTTGAATGGTTGCCACAGAGATTGCTGGCCTGAAGTGACTAAGATATTTACTATTTGCTTCTTTACAGAAAAGATTGCCAACCCCTGCCCCAGACCTAGTGGTTTCAGCTACTTCCATCTCCTGCTGTCTGATGCACCTTGATTTCTAGGTCTGATGGGTTTCAATGTGCTCCTTCAATATTGGGGCACAGCCTCATCCTACCCAGCAGTGAAAAGGGGCTCTCCTATGAATCCCTGCCCCTTCCGGGTGGATGCAGCGATTCCGAGGGCTCTAACTGATCACAGGGTGTACATATTCGAAAGTGTGAAATGAGCCTCATGTGGTGGCTCACACTTGTAGTCACAGCTACTCAAGAGGCCAAAGCAGGAGGATCCCTTGAGATCAGGAATTTGAGACCAGCCTGGACAACATAGCGAGACCCCATCCATAAAAAAATGAATACATAAAAATTAGCCAACATGGTGGTGCACACCTGTAGTCCCAGCTACTCAAGAGGCTGAGGCCAGAGGATTGCTTGAGCCCAGAAGTTTGAGGTTACAGTGAGCTATGATCATGCCACTGCATGCCAGCCCAGGTGACAGAGGAAGATCCTATGTCTTAGGAAAGAAAAAAGAAAAAAAAAGTGTGAGATAAATATGGCTTACTTATAATACTAGAAGAGCAGGAACCCTTGGAATTGCCCTGAAAACAGATGCTTGTAAAATATCAGGGTCCTAGGCCCCATCCTGGGATCTGCTGAATCAGAATTTCTGGGGGTGGGTCCTGGGAACCTGCATTTTTACAAGCTTCCTGGGCAGTACTGGTGGCCCCTAGCATCTGTGATGCAGCCGTCTTCAGCCCCCAGGCAGGCCCAGGCCCCGGCCCCATGAATCACAAATGGAGTCAGCCTCTTCTGACGGATGGTGGGGCTGAGCCCTGGTTAACCCACTAACGGTCATCTCTCCAGTTCCCAGAGCCTCAGCTCTGATCTCTCTGCTGCTTCTGCCTTGTATTCCAGCCTCACCTTTTATTCCATAGCCATTCCCAGCTCTCTAAATTCCTTGCCTCCCAGACGTGCCCTCCCATAAACACCCAAAAGGAATTCTGCACAAAGAAGGGCCAGAGGGTTTTTTTGTTTCCACCATAACACTAGTGATAGATAATTTATTTTTAGGATTTATGGTCTGTCAGGATCAGGGCTAACTTAGTTACAGGCTGTTTTCTCACTTACCGTCCACCAATGTCCCTGTATCCCGACAAAGTATCTTCTATCAGCTCCATTTTACAGGTGGGGAAAGTGAGGCTCTGAGCAGAGAGTGCCTTGCCCCAGGACACACAGCTGTGCAGGACAGAACTGGACTTAACTTAGTGATTCTTGTGGCTTTGCTTTCAACCGGTGCCCTGTGTTACCTTCAAGGTGAAAGAAGAGCTACTGGGCAGGTCCATCTTTGACATTGGTGAGACTCCAGGCAAGAGAATACAGGGCAGTCCACACACTAACTGTCTAAAATTTAAATGTTATAATGCAAACTAACAAACTGTTGAATAAAATATGTCCTGAGCTCCAATGTGTACATAAACATCTGAAAACAACAAAATACAATTTTTCTGTGTAATAATATGGTTTCTATATAACTGAAGTTTAGCAAAATATCAAAGATGACTGAATGTAATTATTGTATGAGACTTGGTGTTCAGTTTACAGGCCAATGATGTTTGCATAAGCAGTAAACTCAAGGCATATGTATTTCACAAACTGCTGTATATTCATAATGCAATACCTATTTTCTTGTTCTCATGACAGCACAATGGCTAACTATATGGTTATAATCAGTATTTTCAGATAATTTGTGATCTATCAATGATGATGTCAAACTGGGAAAATCTGTCTTCAGGGATGGTACTTCTTAGGTAGTTTCTTTCTGAAATTAATTTTTATTTGTTTTTCTATTTTTATTTGCTTTATTAGATGTATAATTCATAAACTTATTAGATGTATAAATTATATATTCCATAAAAAGCACACATTCTAAATGTAACATTTTAGTGCATTGTGACAAATGTGTATACTCATGTACTTGCTACCTCAACTAAGATATTCATAGTTTAAAACAATTTCAATTTGGAGAAACTTCGTTCTGTTTGAGGCAGTAGTTACTGGGATTGTCAATGAACTTTTAAAAGTAATTCTCATATTTGGTAATAAACCATGGATTTAAAATTTCATGTTTAAACTTTATAATGGAGTCACATTTGATACATTATTAACATTGCCAAACATGCTGTGTAATTATTTTACTGTCTCTCCCTAACCCCTCCTCCAATAGAATGTGAGCTCCAGGATGAAGGCTTTCTCTGTTCTGTTTACAACAGTATGCTCAATCTCCAGAGTGGTGCTGGCACTAAGTAAATATTCATTAAATATTTGCTGAATGAATAAATGTAACTTGGTCTCAAAAGTGTTAAGTTTTATGTGATTCTGCCTAATCTCAAATAGGACACTTTCATTTTATGAAAGTATCTGTAAGCAAAGTTTAATCTGCCTTTAGATGAGATGACACACATCAAGTTAGATCATGAAGCTTATGTGTATCTCAGAAGGCAGGTATACGCCTATATTCAGTCTTGTTCAAAGACAAGGACATTGGATTTGCAGATGCCTTTCAGCAGGTGGCCAACCTATACTGCCATGTTGGTGGGGGCCTTAATGCCACAGATCTTTTGGGTTGAAAAGCAGGTGCATCCTTTTTGATGTGCCAATAGTAGAGGACTGTGCTGAAGGAGTGAGAAATGTCAGCCAGTGTGGTAGACAGGCTATATAAGATGGCCCCATTGGCCCCCAACCCCACTCTTCACACTTTTGTGAAATCCTCTGCTATTGAGTGTGGGCAGGACCTGCGACTTGCTTCTAGGCAGTGGAATATGGAAAAGGAGATGGAATGTTACCTCCATGATTACATCATATAAGCTTGGAACTGCTGTCTTGCTAGCAAACTCTCTCCTTTGCTGGCTTTAGTAAAGCTAGTTGCCATGTTGGGGATGCCCATGTGACAAGAAACTGAGGGTGGCTTCTGGCTACCAGCCAGCTTGAACTGAGTCTCACAGTCTAATATCCCAAAGGAAATTAATCCTGCCAACAACATAAGTGAGCTTGGAAGTGCAATCTTCTCCACTGAGCTTTCAGATGAGACCTTAACCCTGGCCAGTGTCTTGATTTCAGGTTTATGAGAGATCTAAGAAAGGGAACCCAGGCAAATGATGCCTGATTCCTAATGCTGAAACTGTGAGATAATACATGTGTGTTGTTTTAAGGTTCTAAGTTCATGGTGATTTTTTAATGTAGTGATAGATAACTAATACAGCCTAGGAGAAGGAAAGTCTCATAGTAAGATTTGATTTATATTGACTTCCGCCATACACTTTCCTGACACTACTTTATGAGTCCCTATAACAACTCTAAGTTGATTCTATCTACATTTTACAAATGAATAAACTAAGACTCATAATTTAAGGATCACATAGTCGGAAGGTGGCAGAACTGGGATTTGAACCAAGACACGTATAACTCAAAAATTCTACCATATTCAAATCTCCCCTAACATATATTTCACCCAGTTCCAGAAAGGCAGAGACCAATGTCTTTCCTTAGAGACTCATATTACTGAGAATAGTATGGTGCCATTTAAATTCTGATTTTTACTGTGATAATTACTTGTTTTTTAAGTTTCTTTCTTTTTTTTTTTTGCTATTACAACTCATTTATAAATATATTCTATTTTTTTAATTGACAAAAAATATTTATGGTATATA
Source organism: Homo sapiens (assembly GCF_000001405.40). Taxonomy (NCBI): domain Eukaryota; kingdom Metazoa; phylum Chordata; class Mammalia; order Primates; family Hominidae; genus Homo; species Homo sapiens. The sequence goes on along the minus strand of NC_000012.12, from coordinate 115,876,655 downwards.
ATATGCTTTGAAATATGTATACATTGTGAAATGGCTAAATCAAGCTAATTAATGTATGCATTACCTCACATACTTACCATTTTTTTTTTTGTGCTGAGAATGCTTAAAATCTTAAAATCTACTTTTACCAATTTTTAAGTATACAATACATTGTTAATAACTACAGTAGATATAAAATATAAAATTCTTTTTTAATTATACTTTAAATTCTGGGATACATGTGCAGAACGTGCAGGTTTGTTACATAGGTATACGTGTGCCATGGTGGTTTGCTGCACCCATCAACCCGTCATCTACATTAGGTATTTCTCCTAATGCTATCCCTCCGCTTGCCCCCCATCCCCCCAACAGGCCCTGGTGTGTGATGTTCCCCTCCCTGTGTCCATGTGTTCCCATTGTTCAACTCCCACTTATGAGTGAGAACATGCAATGTTTGGTTTTCTGTTCCTGTGTTAGTTTGCTGAGAATGATGGTTTCCAGCTTCAACACCATGGAATACTATGCAGCCATAAAATATGAAATTTTTAAAAGATATTTTTTTCCCTCAGTTTTATGGTACCCTTGCTTTGTTGATACTTTAAGCACTATGTTTTTAAACACTTGTATTTGCCAGTGCCTATCACAATGCCTAGCACGTAGCTAGCAATTAACACATGCTTGTTGAGTGAGTTGTTGAGGAATTGTGTCTTCAGGACAGATTCAGGTTGCTGCTACCTATACAAGACTACTATATTATACACAATAGACCCAGAATTGGTTTATAGTGAGAGGTGAGTCTATTTTGGTACCAAGTCCAAACTTAGCCTTGAGGAATCCCTTCATGGCATGTAGGATTCTTCAAATCAGTGAGTCCAAAGATGGCCTGGAATTTGTGTGTGAGCTCTGGAGGGGCAGACCCTGTTCTTTAAAACTGGGTGCTTCCTGAAGTCTGTGGTTCTCAATCCGGTTTTATTAATTTGAATTGCACTAGGAGGCAGGAGACCCTGACTCTGGGGCTATGGGCCAATGGAAGCTTTGGCTAGGCTCAGTGCACATTCTCACCTGGAGGGCTCCTATCCACTTCGTGGGATGGTAGTCAGGAATCTTTTTCTCAGCATTGTGGTTAGTTGGCCTGAGTTTGAATCTTGGTTCCTCCCTTACCAGTTGGATGATTTGAGCAACTTATGTGGCCCTCTATAAGGACATCTCCCTCAGGGGGCATTGTGAGGATCAAGAGATAGGAAGTACATAGGAAGCACGTTATCAATGGCAACTTGTGTAATTGGCCATTGTATACAAATTATAACTTGTATAACTACTCTTGTTTCTTGCATTTCTCTCTGTCCCCAATTTCTTTTCTGTCCTTATTCATCTGCCCCTCACTCCTGGATGTCTCAAAAGTACTTCAAGCTCACCATATATAAACTTAAACTAATTGCTCTAACTCCCTCCTGTGTCCCTAAACATGCCCCCCTTAAAATAAAAGTTACCATCTTTATTAAGGATACGGGCATTTACATGGTCACCCAGAAACCTCAGAGTTGTCCACACCCTTCCCTTGCCCCTACCTTCCACATCATAGTTGACATCCAGACATTCCAAATTCTGCAAGCTGAAATGTTCCTACCCCTTTTATAAAAATTTTTCTGTGGCGACTGCCCTAACGGAATAGTACCCAGCTCCTGGGTACTATGCTTCTAATTGTCCTCCTTGTCTTTTCCTAGTTCTCCATCTTCCTTTAGAGTCCAGAGTGATCTTCCTCAGATCAAGCTGTGTCAGATCACCCCTCTAACATCTCAACAGCTTCTCTCCTGCCCTGTAGAGTCTGATTTCCTTAGCCAGGCTACATAGTCCTTCAGACTTAGATCCAAATCAGACTTTTTATCCTCTCTTTTCTCTGTCTCCTCTCCTCTCTCCTTCTCTCTCTTTTGAAATTGTGGCATAATTTACACTTAATAAAATGCACAGATCCTAAAAGTTTGACTTTATGAGTTTTGACAAATTTACACCCCCATGTAACCATGACTGTAATCAAGATATGGAACATTTCCATGACCCCGAAGTATCATCACCTCCTTCTCCCTTCTGGTCAACCACTGCCCCACAGAGGAAACCACTGTTTTTGATTACTATCACCATCACTCCTCTCTCTCTCTTTCTTTTCTTTCTCTCTCTTTCTCTCTTTCTTTCTGGTGGAGTCTCACTCTGTTGCCCATGCTAGAGTGCAGTGGCATGATATCGGCTCACTGCAACCTCCGCCTCTCAGGTTCAAGCAATTCTCCTGCCTCAGTCTTCTGAGTAGCTGGGATTACAGGTGTGTACCACCATGCCCAGCTAATTTTTGTATTTTTAGTAGCAATGTTTCACCATATTGGCCAGGCTGGTCTTGAACTCCTGACCTCAGGTGATCTGCCTGCCTCAGCCTCCCAAGGTGCTGGGATTACAGGTGTGAGCCACCACGCCCATCTTTCCATCACGTAGTTGTGTTTTGTCTAGAATTTCATTTAAATGGAATCATACAGTATATATTATTTTGTGTCTGGTTTCTTTGACACAATATAATGTTTTTGAGATTCATCCGTATTGTGGCTTGTATTATTTTTTCTGTAGGGTAGTCTTCGATTCTATAGTTATATCACAAAACTTTAAAAAATCCATTTACTTATTGATAAACATTTGGGTTTTTTTCCATAGCCTCATCTGTTTCTGTTTCCTACTTAATACCCTAGCCAATTAGAATTTCTTTTTCTCTAGAGACACATCATGCTTCCTAGCTCTCTCCTCATGCGTTGCTGTTCCCTCTGTTGGAATGCTTTTCCCTTCTTCATTAAGCAAACACCACCTACTTATCCCTTGAAACTCAGCTCATGGAACATCTCTTGGTGGTCTTTGTCCAACTCACTGAAACTGTTATTTGCTTCCTCCCCCATTAAAGCATGTTTACACTGTATTAAATTACCTATGTATGTGTCTGTCTCTTTGATGAGCTGTTTAGCTCATGAAAGGAAGGCAGTCTCTCATTCACCTGGAACATTCTGCTTAGTGTTCTGGCTGAACACTTGAGTGACTGTTACTCTAAAGAGGAAGTACAGGTTAGGAGTTACGAGTTCAGATTTTGGAGTCAGGCTGTCTCTGTTTTAAAATCTAATCCTTGCCTTTTTCTAATTGTGTGATTTAGGCAATTGACTCAACTTCTTGGAGCTTTGGAACTTACCCATGAGGCTTTTGTGAAAATTGAACAACGTAATGTACATAAAATACCTAGGACAGAGCCTGACACATAGCACTGAGTAAAATGTGGACTACTACTATTGCTGCTGTTGTTATTTGAAAAAGCATTGTTCTGGAAACCAGGAAAAACCCCAGCAATCTAAGTCCATATTCGGGCAGGACACTTTCCATCTGTGGCGTGGTTTCTATGTCTATAGAACAGGGAGATTTTTTTTTCTAAGATGCTAGCCAACAAGTTTCTATTTGTGTTTTCTACCAGCTTTAAAACCTTCAGGTGGTGAGTCATCCATCCATCCTCTAAGTCCATCACAATATAACCGGTTCAGCCTGTCGGGGCACTCTTTCTTCTGAATGGTGCTGGGAAAAACAAACAACAAACACATATATCCTTTCTCTCAAATCTGGGCTTCACCAAGCTCACTGCCCCAACACCTTTATAACTCCCCAATGCTGGGTAACAGCTATTTCTTCCCACCAGAGTGGATTAGGCCAACCTGGATTTGCAGAGACCTGGGTTCAAATTCAGCTCCACCATTGAACTAGCTGGATAACTTTGAGTGAATGATTTAACCTCTTTGAGCCTCATCCATTACATGAGGACAAACATAGGTACTTCTTAGGACTGTTGTGTTAAATAAGGATTCGTGTTGGGTGTTTAGTAGGAATGTCTGGTGCACAAAAGTGAGCTAAATTGTCCCTGCTTGTTAGTTTAAGTCATTACTATCCTATTTGGTTGGAATAAGAGATCATTCTTGTGGATTGTAGTGGGTTCCAGACTATACAGGATTCCTTTTTTTTATTGGCTCAGTTTCCCCAAGGCAGTCTTGGTTTCCTCAAGGTCAAAGTGATTTCAGGCAAGGCTTCCAGTTGAAGACAGGAACCCAAGGGTTATTAGCCACCTTGGGCTGGAGAGAAAGGCCATTTCCTAGAGAGGCTTGTCTCTGACTGCTGGATCACATTCTTTTCCAGGACAAAGTGCACTGTTGGTGCATTTAGAAAACCACCCTTACCCCTGGATGCTCTGTTGGTCTGAATCCCAGTTGATCTGACTTCCTGGGCTCCTGATTCTTGACCTTTTAAATGCCCTGGAGCCAGTCTGTCTGCTGCTAGTGTCCAAAGCTCCACTAATGAGTAAACAAGGCATTCTGATCTAGGAAGGAATTGTCTGATTTACATCAGAAAAGACTTTATCAGCCTCTGTGTGCGTGTCTGCCCCAAATCATGCTGATCATCCTGAAGTTACAGGGGGTAATTAGTTCCTACCTCAAGGATAGATGGAGCTGGAGAAAGATGTAGGGATTATTTTTTTTTTTGTATGTGAAGATGTGGGAAAATAGTGGATGCTGAATGTTGGGATATCAGGACACCTGCTCTCTCGAACGCACCTGCCTGCTTTAGAAGCCACAAAGCAGCAGTTTGCAGCCATTAGAAGTTCAGGCAGTGACTACCATTTTTGCATTACTTGGGGAAACTGCTTCCTGCCTCAGGGATTAGACCCTCCTGGAAAGTGATCACTTGGACTCTTCCTCATTTTGCATAGTGTCTGTAGTAGCCTACTTTGTCCAGCAGGGGCCCAATAAATGCTTGCTAGATCTGAGTACATATGCGTGGAGCCTGTTACAAATGTTAGGCTTGGAGAAGGGTGTTCAGACCTACAGACATCAAAACAGAGGCCAGCTCAGTTTGTTTCACTGTCTCCATCAAACACCTTTAATGCCTTCCAAGGTCAGGGGCCAATTTTCCTTTTCACCTTTCTCCTACTATATCCACCATTTATGCAAGGCTGCATCAACCTGGATGATAAAGACTCATTAGTTGTGGGTTAGAATCCTCTGAATCCAGCTCTCAGAATCCTAGACTAGAGCTTGGAACTGACTCCCAACCTGGAACAATGACAACACATTTCAGAAGCAGATCAAGTTGCTGGTGTCCGGTGGGAGGGGAGATCCACAGGACAGAGCAGTTAAGAACCTGTGCTTAGAAGTCCAGACAACCTAAGTTCCATTTCTGCTTTTTTTTTTTTTCTTTTAGACAGTCTTGCTCTGTCACCCAGGCTGGAGTGCAGTGTCACAATCTTGACTCGCTGCAATCTCTGCCTCCCAGATTCAAGTGACTCTCATGCGTCAGCCTCCCAAGTAGCTTGGATTACCAGCACTTGCCACCATGCCAGGCTAATTTTTGTGTTTTTAGTAGAGACGGGGTTTCACTGTGTTGACCATGCTGGTCTTGAACTCCCAACCTCAGGTGATCTGCCCACTTCGGCCTCCCAAAGTGCTGGGATTATGAGTGTGAGCCACTGTATCTGGCCTAATTTCTGCTTTTATCACTTAATGTTCTCTGAATCTCATTATCATCATCTGGAAAATGAGGATATATTACCTTCCCCCTAGGCTTGTTGGGTGGATTAGATGAGGTTATGTATGTTAAATACCTTGCCAAGTATCTGCCACAAAGTATATACTCAAAAAGCAATTGCTATGATTGCATTATTATTATTTCTGTTGTCATCAATCATTATTAATAATTATTAATTTTCCTAGTGTAATGACAGTAAGGGGAACAAACCACAGGACTCTTCTGTGCTGTGAGGCTCTTCCAGTTCAGTCACTGGATAAAGCTGTGCTGCATAGGGACCAGAAGCAGACGCCAGAAAGAGGGTGCTGACATGAATGGGGCAGAGAGCCTGTTGCTGGGGCTTAGTCTAATTATACCTGGCAGCTCATTGCCCCCCTAGTAGTGCCAGCCCCCAGGAGGACAGATCACATTTCTGTCTCCTGAGTAAGCTGTGTTGTGTCATCTTCAGAGTCCTGAAGTATTCTTCCCGCCCCGCCCCGCCCCACCCCTCCCCCCACCACCACCTCCAACTTGTCTCCATCTGCTGCCTTTTGGCAGCTGGGTGAGCTCTTGGTTCTGCAAGGGGAGGTAAGGGGGGAAGATATTTGGGAGATTATGACTGTGGGTGGATTTGGTAGAGGGGAGGAAGCTGCTGAGCTCTGAAAACAACCTCCTGATTGGAAATAGAAGGATCGGGGTGTTCACCTGTTTGTGGGTCACTTTGACCTCCCAGGTCAGGTCATACATGTGCTTCTCCCGGCTGCTCATGCCAGCAGAAATTAGATACTAGACACACTCCCACCCCATCTCTGGGTTCCAAGCAGAGCTCCATTCCTGTTCACTTGATCCCTTCCAACACATGTGCGTCCCTTCCCTCTCTCTCTCTCTCTCTCTCTCTCTCCCCGAGGCCCTATGTGACCTGGCCCCAGCCTTCCTGTCCAGGCTCATCTCTCACCACTTTTGCCTCAAATGCTGCACTCCAGCCAGATGAGCTATTTAAAGCTACTTTAAGCCCCACTCCCTCTTGCCCCCAGGACCTTGACCTTCTTCACTTGACCTCTTCTCCTCTCTTCCTTCCCATCCTGTGTAGGCTCCCCTTTCTCCCGGAGGTGTTCCTGGTTTTCTTTGCTGTGAGTCCCCACAACTGTCTCCGGGCTTTCTCTGTCCCACGACTCTGCCATTGCCTGTCTACTTGTCTGTGTGCTCCACGCCACTCTGTGATCTGGAAGGGCAGGAACTTTGTGTGGCCTGTTCACTGGGACTCTTATGTTATAGGTGCTCAGTGCATGTTGCTTGTATGTTCTTGCGCAAGCCCTTGTACTTTTACATGCTGAGCATTTGCCATTGCCAGAACTATCACTAGATTACTACTGTTGGTCACAAACTTGAGAATGGGGGGGGCATGGGAGTTTCAGGGTTTGGGGTCCCCAAGCAGCCAGCATTACCCAGCTGATTCCGATAATGAGCTGAGTGTCTCCCATTTTCCCCTCCAGATTCACTGTCCACCCTTCTCCATCCAGCTCCCTGCCGTGGGGTGCTGACCTCTGTCACTTCACAGACCAGTCCCTGAGCCCCTGGCTTTCTGGTGGCCTTGGCCAATGGGAGCCTTGGCGGGAGAGTAGGGTTAGGCATGGACCCCCTAGCTCCCTTGCTGTTGGGGTTGCTGTGTCCCTCAGCTTAAGGTCACAGTCCCTGGTAAGCAGCCTCTCTGCAGACAGCCTCCTCCGGAGGGAACTGCTCCCTGCCCTTGCCCCGCAGGCCTTTGGGATGGTAACAGTTCACACTGGCAGCAGCTCTGTGGTGCTTCACTATCCTCTGTGTTTTCCCCACACTCCACCCACAGCTTTGTAAACAGTGCCTCCTTGACATTATCCAGTTTGAGTCTGTTATCTGCTTCCAGTTGGGATGCTGACCTGATCGAACTTTGACACACTTAGAGGGTCCATCTGGCCCCAGCCGATAGCTCTGTCAGGAGATAATTATCTTGGTTATTATTTATGATACCAAAATGATTATAGTAGCGTCCATGTGCCAGTTTCTGTGCTAATTGTTTAATATACATTACCTCCCTCCATTTTTACAATTCTATAAGGTGGTTATTTTTTCATTTCTTAATGTGAGAATGGAACTTAGACTAGCATTTATTGGATGAGGACAGTGGGGCAGGGGAAGGGCTAACCACTTTACAAACTTTCTCTCTTTTATTTTCCACAACAACCGTGGGAGGTGGTGTTGAACCCATTTTACAGATGAATAAACTAAGGCCCAGCAAGGTGACTTTATCTTCCCCAAGGCCACCCACGGAGTAAGTAGTGGAGGTGAGAATTCAAATCCGTGTTGGTCTGACTCAGTGCCTAAGTTCTTAACCACTGGAGTATCAGACCTCACTTCAGGATGACCTCCACGGAGATGCAGGCTGGCTCTCTACCATGTGCATCAACATGCTCGGCGTGAGAGAAGCAACCTGTTGACAGGGAGACTCATGTATCCAGGTTGCTTTGGACATAGGACCCTGCAAGGCTTTCTCTATTCTTTCACTTCCCTTTCCTCCTCCCACCTCCAGGACCAGGGACTGGGTCCAGCTGCTTCCAGCATGAACTGCCCATTGTAGGGGTGGTCTACATGTCATCTTCCAGATGCAGGCACTCATCCTTCTCCACTGGCAGCTGGGAGGTCACAGGTGGTGATGCAGGGCAGGCAAGCCCCAAAACTGGGGCTTAGCTCAGGAGAGTTCTTGGCTTCACCCAGGAAAGAATTCAAGGATGAGCCCGTGGTGTCAGCAACTTTTATTGAGGCAGCAGTGTACAGCAGCAGCAGAGATCCTTGCAGAAGAGGGCTACCTCACAGGCAGTATGCCCACAGTAGCAGCTCAGGGGCAGTTCTGCAGTCATGTTTATGCCCGTTTTTAATTATATGCAATTATATTATATGCAAATTAAGGGGCAGATTATGCAGAAATTTCTAGAAAGAGTGGTCACTTCTGGATTGTCAGGTCAGTTACTTCACGGAAAGGGGTGGTAACTTCTGAGTGTTGCTATGGCAATGGTAAACTGACATGGCACACTAGTGGGCGTGTCTTATGGAAAAGGGCTTCCACCCTGTCTCTGTTTTAGCTAGTCCTCAATTTGGTTCCATGTCTGAGCCCTGCCTCTGGAGTTGAGTCTTGACTTCTACCTCAGTGGGACTTTGCCAGTCCCCAAGGTAGTTGGACGACAGTGTCACCCCAGCATGGAGGTTGGGTTGGAGCAGCCCTGGGGACACTCACCTGCCTTGAGTTCCTGTGAGCCTTGAAAATGTCTGTGCCTCACCAACCTCCTACTACAGGGAGTGTGATTTTACAAGGGCACCAGCTGCTACTCTGACACCCATGGCTTTTTGTTGCCAGGCCTGGCCTCCCACTGTTTGCTCCAAGCCAAAGACTGAGTGAGGAGGGATGTGAAGGCAGGCCCTGTTTCTGGGAGACACGGGACTCCTCCAGCAGTGAGTTTGCTCTGGGACTCCCCAAGGGCCTTGCAGATCTATCTCCGGACTGCACATCAGTCTTGGAGGCCTCTGTCCTACCTCCCCTTCACTCCAGGTTGGACATGCATCTATCTCAGTCTGACGGCTCTGCCAGCTTCTTCCAGCTCCCTTTTCATTTTCCCTCACACAAGCATTTCCCTCTGTACAATCCTTGTAAGTGTGGTCCTGCCTGGCATCTGTTTCTCAGAGGACCTGAACTAACACACACACTAACACAGTGTCCCAGAACCACCGAGGTTTTCAGGACTCCTGGGAGACTGGCAACAGCTAGGCTGGGAGCCAGAGGAACAGGCTTGGGACTCTGATGGGAAATTTGAGTCTTTCCAAGTTCCTACTCATTATTTTTATAGAGATATGAGTTCCCTCCAGATTTCTCTGCATGGCAGGAGTGGTTTGAAAGGGTATTGCAAAGCTACCTAAATTTTCTTTACAGAAGCGAGATGGCATGATGTTGAATGTGGCGCTGCCATCTGCTGGTTAAGGCAACTTTTCTGACCTTCAAATTCCTCATCTGTCAGGTGGAATGGGGATCCCTCCTCCCTCCTCATAGGGCTGCCAGGAGCACTGAATAAGGGCAAGTGTTTGGTGTGCTGTGCGTATTGGTGGTAAATAGGAAGCTCCCAACACACGGTGACAACTTGGAGCCCTGACTCCTTTGCTCACCTTCCTAAAACATCTGTAGATCTCACAGTTATTTTTTTTTCCTGAAGTTAATAAGGGCTTGGCTGGATGGCAAAAGCTTCTGGAATTCCTGCAACCCTTTCAACCCCCCTGAAATGTAGTCACAGGTTTGAGAGCGCTTGGGTTCAAATGCTCATTCTGCAGCTGCTGCTTCGTGGAATGCTGAGCAAGTTACATATTATCTCGTGCATCATCTTATTCATCTGTAAAGTTGGGGTTTATGATAATATATAGTATTTAACTCATAAGGTTGTTGGAGTATCCAAGAGGCAGTGAATACAAAGGGCTTAGCCCAGTGCCTGGCATAGTAAGGGCTCAATAAGGAACAGTAGCTTTTAGAATTCTTATTGCTGGTCCAACAATGATAGACTGGATTAAGAAAATGTGGCACATATACACCATGGAATACTATGCAGCCATAAAAAATGATGAGTTCGTGTCCTTTGTAGGGACATGGATGAAGCTGGAAACCATCATTCTCAGCAAACTATTGCAAGGACAAAAAACCAAACACCACATGTTCTCACTCATAGGTGGTGGGAATTGAACAATGAGAACACATGGACACAGGAAGGGGAACATCATACACCGGGGCCTGTTGTGGGGTGGGGGGAGCGGGGAGGGATAGCATTAGGAGATACACCTAATGTTAAATGATGAGTTAATGGGTGCAGCACACCAACATGGCACATATATACGTATGTAACAAACCTGCACATTGTGCACATGTACTCTAAAACTTAAAGTATAATAAAAAAAATTCTTATTGCTGGTATTGTTGTTGGTATTCATTATCCTCTGAACTTGATGAAACTCTGATTTCCTGAGCAGGGCTATCTGAGTCTGTGGACCCCGAGAGCAGAATGTGTGGGTTGCCATCTTGGCTGATCTCGGGCAAGTTTACCTAGGTTCAGCTCAATCTCCCAGTCGGTCTCTGCTTTCATTTCCTTAGCTGATAAACAGGGGTAAACCATGCTTTGCTCCAGTCTTCTCATTTGAGGGCTTTGTTCTTTGCCTCACCCTTTTTATCTGTAAAATGGTAATACCTGTTCATTTCAGGCACTGAAGGATGCCTGTTCATCAGTGAGAAGCTCTGAAAAAATTCATAAGTAATGTGGGGTCAGGAGCAGGTAGGGCTAGAGAAAATGGATCAGCCCTTTACAAATATAAAGTGCTAAATAATAAATGGCTTTTATCCATTTGCTTAAATAACTCCTCTTATTGACATGGCTTAATGAGTCCCTCGATCCCCAAATGATTCAAGATATATGTCCTCAATTTCATCTCTTGAAAAATTTCTTCATGGTTCAAAACAAGCAAAAGTCTTTGGGTCTAATTTTGAGAACTTACCTGACTGCTATTCATTTTAAGAGATCTGGTAATTGTTTTGTGTTTTTAAAAATTTTGAACTAAAGCTCTCATTATTCTGATTTATTTTTGTTAGCTATTAACCTAAGTGTTTCCTGATTTGCATAGAAAGAAAAAGAATGGATTTTCCAGTCTCTTTGACCCCTGAGATCTCAAAGCCCCTGTGAAGATCGATCAGTTGGCATGGCTGGATTCAGACTTCCCAGGCCAAGAGGACTTGAAGAAATGATCAGATGAATCTCAGAAACTCAGAGTTTGAATAATAGTTGTCGGTTATTGCACACTTGCTGTGTGCCAGGCATGGTGCTCACTGCTGCCCATGGATCATTTCACCTAATTTCATCTACCAGCCTGATATCTGCACATGTGAGAACCTGAGACGTAGGGAGTTTGCACGGCTTTAGCTTTCGCAGAAGGAGTAACACAGGGTCATACCAACTTACTCCAGTTACCAATTCTGTGACCTCAGGTAGGTGAATTTCTATCCCCGATCATCCTCTTGTTAAAATGGGACTAGGTAACCTCAAACTTTTGTCATGGTGATTGAACAGCTGAGTGTGGTGTTTAATGCATGATCCGTGCTTAGTCAATTCTTATTTTTATTACGGTCCAAGTTCACTGGTCTTGGGCGTGGTGGCATATTGGGAAGTTGACCCAGACCTGGTTCTGAAGCTTGTGCTTCTAGATCATCGTCCTGATCCTATCCAGCTTCAGTTAGGCTTTTCTGCCTCCGAGCACCCTGTTAAGTTTCATAGCACTTAGTAGAGTGCTAGTTTATAGCATTGTGTTTGTCTATGTGATTCTTCATCTGCCTTGCTAGACTGTTTGCTCTGTGAGTGTAGGAACCATGTCTGCTTTGCCCAATACATATCCACTGACTGGAAAGATTATGCCAAGTTTCTCTCATGTTTCACTGTGGGTGCTTTGAATTGGGAAAATATCCTTTCCCATCAGAGTAATTCAGTGAGACTTATTCATGCCAATTAGACGAGAAGCTTGGAATCTGACTGTTCACCCGTTGGAATTATTTCAGAACATCTCTACAGATACTGCTTTCACTTTCACAAGTTTTAAAAATGTATCCTGGTATCAGGCCAACACATATAAGGTTTATCAGTTTCCCTTCAAGAAATGAATAGTGTTGCGTTGTTATTATTTTTGCCTCAGGTTCTTTTCTTCTGTTTTTCTTTTTTTTTTTTTTTTTGATTACCTTTTCTGATCACTGAAGTTGTGTGCATGTTGGGATTGAAGAGTTGGGCAGACTGTTCATTGCCTGCCTTATATCCATTGCCCTTTCCCCTTTGTAAGAGGATCCAGGTTTTGTTCAGAGCAGCACTGAGCCCAGACCCAGGCTATGGATTATAATCGGTCAAAGTTCTGTTATCTAATTTCCAAGCTTTCCTTGCATCTGAGATGGTATATGACCCAGCTCTGTCCAAAAGGTCTGTTGCAAAATGTTCTGGGAAAAAAAAATTTATTGTCCTGGAAAAAGGGACAGATGCAGCACTTTCCCCTTCCATTTTTTTCCTGTCTTGAATTTGGATGTGATGGCTGGAACTGCAGCAACTGTTTTGTCAAAATATTGGTCAAGATGTGGCTGAGCTGCCGAACCTGAACATGAAGCTGACCACTTCTGGAATTCTTATTATGTAAGAAAGGACTATTAAATTAAAGCATATAGTGAGGCATTCTTATTACTTGGAGCTGAATGTATTACTAATGGGTAAAATGATGTTTCTAAAGATTTCCCTCAAAGGCAAAATAAAATCCCAATATTCATAGTTTTTTTGTTTTTTTTTTACTCACCCCATCCCCTTTACCCCCAAAGAGTTTAAGACCTTCTATTCTATGTCAGGATAAAAATTGCTACACCCATTTAAAAGACGATAATGCAGAGGATTGAGCAGGGATTTGCTATTCAAAATTTCAAAGCAGAGCCAAGAGCCTTGGTGTACACACTGTGGCTTCCATTCAAAGACTACATGCTGTCTCTCATTGGCTTAACACACCATTCATATTCCTTAGAAGGCTGAAAGGGCCATATTGATGCTGCCAGAACCTCAGACAGTGGTTCCAGGGAGTCTAGAGGGTTGAAACCCAGCACTTAAGGCTCGCATGCTGTTTTTCTGGCTTGGAAATTTATGCCACAGCTTTGAAATTCTGGAATTTGTTGAGCAGTGATTTGTGACTGCACGTTAAGAGGTGCTTATGCGGTAATGTTGCCTGCGTCTTTATGAAGGTGGTGGATGCTGCTCTGAGCCTTCCAAACTGCTAATATTCTGGATATTATCTGTGTCCACACAGCCATCAATGCTCAAGCAGGGACATTAGGCTGATAGAGAATATCATTAAGGCCGAGAAGGTAGGAAGGAAGACTTACCAGGAAATGTCAGGATATTTTCTTCCCCAAAGGAAACCACCAAAGTCATCAATTCCAAATGTTGAACGCAGTGAAACTTTCCCTAACAAAGAGGCTGATTTACCTTCAGCCTTTCAAGCGTGACTCCTTTATGCATTTCCCACATCTTTTCACTCTGTCAAAATCCATTTTAACTCGATTTTGTTAGCTAAAAATATCTTGGTCCAAAATGTAACCCCATCATCATAAGACACTTTATTTTCAGATTTGTGATTTCCCTTTGTTTTTTTTTTCAAAGGCTTTATTTGCTTTTTTTTTTTTCCATGAAGATGATTCTTACACTGCTCTTTCCCCAAGCACGTTTGGCCATTCCACTTCTCTTTTGTACTGTTTCCAGACGTTTCCTTTCCTTTATAGTCATGACAAAATATAATAGCTAATTCTTATATAGTCTTTGCCATATGCCAGGTGCTGTTGTAATTGATTTATAGGTATTAACTCGTATAATCCTCACAATACCCTAAGGCACAAATACCATTATTTATCCTTATTTTACAGAATAGGAAACTGAGGCACAGAAAGGTTAAATAGCTGATCCGAGGACACACGGCAAGTGGCCAGGCCAAGATTCTAACCCACCAATCTGGCTGCAGCTGATTATGCTAATACTGATAGTGACGATAACTGGCATTTTCCAGTACTTAATCCATATCAGACTCTGTGGAGTCTTATATACATATTGCCTCCCTTAATCATCCCATAAGCTTATGAGATATTAAGGATTATGGTCACCATTTTTAGGGCTGAGGAACTTGAAGCTGTGTGACTTTGCTGACCCGGTCGCTTGGTTAGTAAGATGCAGGCACTTTCAATGCCCATTGTACCTGGAATGCCCTCTCTCCTCCACCCTCACTTCTTTGCTCAGCTTCCTTCTGATCAGTGTCCTCTTTCTGGGAACGCTTTCATGGAACCCCCTCCCCAGTCTGATTTAGATGCTCCAGCTCTCATATCCTACAATTGTCAATTTTCTTACCTGTCTCACTCATCAGACCATGAACTCCTTATACAATGTATATTCACGGTAAAACAAGTATTAGAAACACCAGAAATGTCTGTTCAATCCCTCTGTTTCTATTTAAAAGATATTTTAAAAATCAAAGTATAATTTGAATACAGCAAAGCTACCCTTGTTAGTGAACAGTTCTGTGATGAAAGCATGCTGTCTGGTAGACAGTCTGGGTTAGTTTCCCGCAGTTGCTGTTCCTTGTGTCTTCCAGCTCCTGATGGCTTCAGGCATTCCCCGGTTTGTGGCCACATCAGGCCAATCTCCACCTTCCTGTTCACGGGACCTCTTTTCCTATGTGTGTCAAATCCCCCTCTCCTTTCTCTGCAAGGACAGTCTCATTGGGTTTAGGACCATCCTCAATCCAAGTATAATCTCATCTTGATCCTTGCCTTAGTTACACTTGCAAAGTCCCTATTTCCGAATCAGGTCATGTTCACAGACATTAGAGGGTAGGACTTGGACATATCTTTGTGGGGAACACATGAACCCACTAGATAGCTTCACAGTCAAGATATAGAATAATTTTATCACCACCTCCCAGTTCCATTCTGTTTCCCTTTCAATGAAAAAAAGTCAAAATGAAGCCATATCTGTCAACGTAGCCATATCAATCAAAATCTACCAATGTAGATATTGGTAAAATATATGTAACATAAAACTTACCATTTTAAGTGTACAATTCAGTGGCATTAAGTACATTTTTGATGTTATGTATCCATCACCACTTACTGTTTTATAACCTGCCTCACCCATGTAATCATGGATTATATGCACTTTTTACATGTCAATAAATTCAGATCAAAGTGCTCCATTATTTAAAATAAATGTATATTTTAGATGTGAGTTTCTTAAAGGACCAGCACTTATTACACTAGAGTCTTACCCTCAGGGCCTAGCCTAATGCCTAGCATGTCGCAGGTGCCCGATAAATGTTTATTGAGTGAATAAATGAAGGAATGACTTTCTGGTGAGATACAATGATGCTGCCTGTGCCCACAGCAGGCCTGGGCTCTTAGAGTTTCCAAGGCTTTTGCCCTTTTTAGGTGTGATTTGCATTATCCAGTCCTCCATTTTTCCAAGATAGGTTGCTGTCTTTGCCTTCTCTGAAAACCTCCAGTGACTTTGAAGCAACTGCCTGGAGGGTCAGAGGTGTGTTTCTCCCAACTTGGGACTCTTCCCCGCTAAGGGTTTTCATTTCAGAGGGGTCTAAGCCAACTCTTTCCAGGTTTTATAAGCTGATAGAACAGGGCTGTCAAATGCTTTTTATGGGAGAAGAAACAGGAAGATGGTTTGTTTTGCAGACAGCAGGTTATTGGGTAATTACATTTTTATAGAGCTGCTGTGGGACAAGTCACGGACCTGCTGTCTCCTTTGATGCTAAAAGGCAGACGGCCCCATAAAGATCAGAACAAGGGAAGGTGAAAGGGGTCAGGGACAGAGCTGCCCCTTGGGGGTCAGCTTCTGCCTGGAAGCATCCCCCTGCCCCCCACCACCAGGTGCCCCTTTGGGAAATGCCCTCCTTCCCTTGCCACATGTTTTGGTTAGAGTCACATTCATGCCAGCCTCTTCTATCTGTTTCTCTGCATACAGAGAAAAGGAGAGACCGAAAAAAGGCATTAACTAATAGGACCACCCTCAAGGAAGCCATTGTCATTCACTTATTCATTCGCTCTTTTACTTCCCCCTTCACTCATGCAGTCACTATGTTACTCATTCACTCATTCATTCAATAACTCACTCATTCACTCACCCGCTCATTTATTCATTTGCTCATTCATTCACTTGCTCATTTATTCATCCCTCATTCATGCATACATTCAAGTGTTTGGACACTTAACTAGGAGACTGAAGTATACTGATATATTTTTCCCAAAGGTCAATTTGTTCATTAATTCAACACATCTTCATTGAGGGACTACCATGTGTCATGCATTGTGGCTATAGTGTTAGGTACAACTGAAGCAGTGGAGAAGAGATGCAATAAACTATTGCATCCATATAAAGTGTGCAGTGCCAGCCATGATAAGCACTGAGCAATACACAATTTGGCGCTGTGGGGGTGGTGGGTATGCGAGAGCCCATATGTAGCAGCTCAGCTGGTTGCTTATGAGTGATCAGAGGCCGGGCGCTGTGGCTCACCCCTGTAATCCCAGCACTTTGGGAGGCCAAGGTGGGCGGATCACGAGGTCAGGAGATCGAGACCATCCTGGCTAACACGGTGAAACCCCGTCTCTACTAAAAAAATACAAAAAAATTAGCTGGGCGTGGTGGCGGGCGCCTGTATTCCCAGCTACTCGGGAGGGTGCGGCAGGAGAATGGTGTGAACCCGGGAGGCGGAGCTTGCAGTGAGCCGAGATTGCCCCACTGCACTCCAGCCTGGGCGACAGAGTGAGACTCCGTCTCAGGAAAAAAAAAAAAGTGATCAGAGAAGGCTTCCCTGGTTCAGCTGAAATCTGAAAGATGGAGAAGAAGTTGCCCAGGCCAAGGGATGCAAGGGATGGTGGAGGTGGTGGAGCATGTGGTAGGGAGAGAACATTCCAGGCAAAGAGAGAAAATCCTGCACAGCGTCTGTGGAAGGAGAAAGTACGAAGCTTTCAAGAAGGGGGAGCAGTGGTGCCCTAGCCAGTCTGGCTTTGGAGGAAGCTCCATCCTAGTTGCTTCACCCAGGGCTGTGATCAGGAAATCCCTTTTCAGATCTTCTTGTGGCTCCGTTTCAAAGATCACTTCCTTTTGCAGAAATAAAACATGTTGCTAGGCTATCGTCTCAGCTCCAGCCCAAAACTCGTGGGCACAAGTTGGGGGGAAGCCAGTGTGGTGGCCTGAAGAAGGTCTCTTCATTCTTCGTTTTTCTTCCTGCCCTGGAAGGTTCTAGAAAGCTGTGCACTGCTATTCCTTTTCTTGGGAGGTTTGGAATGAGGCTAAGGGCTGAGGATTACTGGTCCCATCTGGAGACAAGTGTTTCAAATCAAGATCCCCCCTTTTAAAGATAGCTGCCTTCTTCAGGGAGGCTCTGTTCCCCGACCCACACTCCCTGTGCTGATTTCCTGCTGTGTAGACAAGTACCTTAATAAATGATTATTTATTTTATCGGGCAGCCCCTTCTGTACATGTCCAGTTTCCTGCTGTGACCTCCAGCCAGAATCCCAAGGTGTCTTTCTTAAAGGGGCCAAGGAGATGGAGCCTTTTCTAGTTTTTATTCTTTTTATGGCTGTGAGCTGTGAGTTCTGTACAAGGTAGCTTTTCCCTGGGGAGGTTTCTTCCTTCCCAAAGTCTTCCCCTCATTCTGTTAGATACCAGCCTTCCAAAGACCCCCAAAGCTGCTAGTTGGGACTGAGGGGCCCCCAGCCCTGGCTGCCTGTACCCCTATCCTTGGGCTGCAGATGAAGGCAGCAATGACCCCGGCAAAGGATGAGGGGTCAAACAGAACAGGGGATGAGGAAGTATCGGAGAAGGAGTCAGCCCAAAGCATTTTCACTGGGCTTCTAAGAAATCCATGTGTCCAAGGTGTCTTGGTGGTAAGCAGAGCCCATTTCCCCTAACCAGGGTGGCAGCACCAGGTCAAAGGAACTCCGTGTGGGTCCCTGCTTGGATTATGCTCTGTCCCCACCACCAGGCCTTTGCTTATGCTGTGTTCATTGCCTGTAGTGACCCTGTCTCCTGCCTTTTGGGAGACCTAACATTTATAGAGGGCCAGCAAGGTGCCGGACATTGTTCCAAGTCTTGGGGATGCAGTGATGCACAAAACAGCCTATTCCTGCCCTCATCAAGCTTGCATTTCAGAGCAGGGCCAATGGACAAGAAATGAATATGCAGATAAACACTATGTGTGGTCTGTTGGGCAGCCGTAAGTGCTGATGAGAAAGAAATCCAGCAGGACAAGGAGGGTGATGGGGAAAGTGGTCAGGGAAGGGTGGCTTGAGAGGTGACAGAGGAGCGAGGAAGTGTGTTCCTAAGAGAGGGAACAAAATGTCCTAAGGCCTGGAGGCAGGGCTGAGCTCTGTGTGTCCCCAGGCAGCTAGGAAGCCAGCTGGTGGAGGAGGAGTGAGCCAAAGGCTGAGAACAGGGAGAAAGTTGCTGGACACCCAGGCCATGTGAAGTTCCATGGGCCATTCGCAGTGAGGATTTTGGATTTTATTGCAAAGCAGATGGGAGCCAATGGAAAGGTCTGAACTGAAGAGTGACAGGATCTGACTTAACGTTTTAAAGGAATCACTAGTTGTAGTCATTGATACATATTCATTCATCTCATCTTCAGCATTTTAAGATGCAGTGCTTTCGTTTGTTTCCATTTTATAGATGCCAAAACTCGAGGCGCAGAAAACCTAAGTAACTTGCTCAGGATGCCATACAGCAAGTGAGGGGCAGAGCCAGGATTCTGTCTGAGCCCTCTGGTGGTTGGGCACCATCAGCTCCAGGAAGCCTCTTCTATGTGCTCCAGAATTGGTTGCATGGGGAGCCCCTATGAACTTCACCTTCCTGAGCCTCAGTTTTCTGTAAAATGGATATGATAGCAACCACTCTTGCCTTACTTTATACACAGTGCTGTTGGCAAAACCAAATGAGATGAGCTGCAAAATGAATGACTATATATTATTAATTAAATTGTTATAAAACCCAGCTCCTATTTATCAAGCATCTGTGGGGAGCAAATTCCTGCTTATTGGGTCTTATTTAATTACCAAACCACTCTGTGCTGTAGGTGCTATTGCGATTCCAGAGAGCCTGGCACAGAGACAACAGTCAAGAAACTTGGAGTGAATTAATAGCGATGATCTCATTGGATTCCTTTCTTTTCATTCCACTGGGGCTTCTGGAGTTCCCTTGTTCTAGGTTCCTCGTGTCTAATGAATAAAATAGTAATATTTACTTCCTAAAGAGGTTGTGAGGATATCCTGTAGACCAAGTCCCTTCCTAGGAAGCAATTAATCAATTAGCTTTTTTTTTTTCTTTTTTTGCTTTCAGAAACATTCTATGCAAATAATACATGCAAAGGATTTACATAGCACTAAATATTTTTAATGCAAATGATATACAATACTATCTTGCCCTTTTCACTTAACAATGTGCCTTGGAGATAATTGCATTATAATACATATAGACAACATTGTTCTTTTTTTAACAGCTGCATAGTATTCCATTGTATGGCTGTTTTATAATTTTGTCTTTTGCTATTAACCAGTGCTGCAATGAATATAATTGTATGTATCCTGGCACACATATGAGGATATTGATTGAGTAAATATCCTCAAGGAGAATTGCTGGGTCAAGTTATACATAAATTTAAATTTTTGATAGACATTGCCAAATTGCAAGTTACAGAGATTGTAGAAATTTACACCCTTCACCAAGAGTGAATAAGACTGCTTATTTGTCCAGAAACTTGCTAACATAGTATATTATTAAACTTAAAAAAATTCATACTGCGGGATCTTGATATACATACTGTTTTTTGGTGTGTGTTTTTAGCTTAACATTAAGTTGCAAAAAAATGTTCAGTTTCAAGAAATATTTTTCAACAAAATTTTTAATAGTTATCCACTATTTCGTTGTATAGATGTACCATAGTTTATTTGACTAGCTTTCTGTGGTCAGACGGTATTTTTAAAACTAATATGTTTGATAAATTTGACTGTTAAAACGAAGAATATTGGTTATCAACAGACTCGTGAAAAGGTGGAAGACATTCCAAACTAGAAGAAAATATTCACAACACATGCAGCTAACAAGGGAGAGTATTAATGAGCCATATGTAAAGAATTTCTAGAAATAAATAAGCAAAGCTCAACAACCTAATAGAAACATGGGCAAATGAGAATAACAGACATTTCAAATGTAGAAACATATATGACTACTAATAAATGTATAAGGAGATGTGGAACATCATTAATAATGAGGCAAAGCAAGACCAGAATGAGATATTATTTTGCACTAATTTGTTTGGTAAAAATTTTAAAAAGGCCAGGCGCAGTGGCTCATGCTTGTAATCCCAGCACTTTGGGAGGCCGAGGTGGGCGGACCACGAGGTCAGGAGATTGAGACCATCCTGGCTAATATGGTGAAGTCCCGTCTCTACTAAAAATACAAATTAGCCAGGCATGGTGGCGGGCGCCTGTAATC
This sequence comes from Homo sapiens, assembly GCF_000001405.40. Classification (NCBI taxonomy): domain Eukaryota; kingdom Metazoa; phylum Chordata; class Mammalia; order Primates; family Hominidae; genus Homo; species Homo sapiens. Next base: position 115,855,998 of record NC_000012.12, on the reverse strand, counting down.
CCAGCTACTCGGGAGGCTGAGGCAGGGGAATGGCTTGAGCCTGGGAGGCGGAGGTTGCAGTGAGCCGAGATCATGCCACTGCGCTACTGCACTCCAGCCTGGGTGACAGAGTGAGACTCCGTCTCAAAATAAATAAATAAATAAATAATAAATAAATAAAAAAAATCTGACAAACTAAGGGTTACAAGGGATGTGGAGTTGCAGAGCGAATGCAAATTGGTGCATCCATTTTGGAAAAACAGTTTAGTCTTGTAAACTCAATAGGAAAAATTATAATCCTGTGACCTAGTAATTTTTCTTCTGGATATAACCTAAAAGGCCAACAAGCATGTGAAAAAATGCTCAACATTACTGATATCAGAGAAAGCAAATTAAAATCACAGTGAGATATCATCTTACAGCAGTCCAGATTGCTATTATTAATTATTATTGTTGAGACAGGGTCTCGCTCTTCACCCAGGCTGGAGTGCAGTGGTGTGATCATAGCTCACTGCAGCCTTGATATCTTGGGCTCAAGTGATCCTCTCACTTCAGCCTCCTGAGTAGCTAGGACTACAGGTGTAAGCCACTACGCCCTGCTAATTTTTTTGATTTTTAGTAGGGACGAGGTCTTGCTATGTTGCCTAGGCTTGTCTCAAACTTCTGGGCTCAAGTGATCCTCCCACCTCGGCCTCCCAAAGTGCTGGGAGTACAGGCTTGAGCCACTGCACTTGGCCCCGAATGTCTATTAACAAAAAATCACCAAATAACAGATGCTGGGGAGGATGCATAGAAAAGGGGATGCTTTATACACCCATCGGGGGAATGTAAATTAGTACAAATTCTATGGAGGATAGTATGGAGATTTCTTAAAGCACTAAAAATCAAACGATCATTTGATTGGCAATCCCACTACTGGGTATCTACCCAAAGGAAAAGAAATTGTTATATAAAAAGACATATGCACTATGAGGTTTAATGCAGCAGTATTCAAAATAGTAAAGTTATGGAATCAACCAAAGTGTCCATCAATGGATGAATGGATAAAGAAAATGTGATATATATATATATATATATATATATATATATATATATATATGTATATATATATATATATATATATATATGCACACACTATGGAATACTATTCAGCCAGAAAAAGGATGAAATTATGTTTTGTGCAGCAACATGGATGGAGCTGTAAGCCATTAAGTGAAATAACTCAGAAACAGAAAGTTAAATACTGTATGTTCTCAACTACAAATGGAAGCTGAATAGTGTGTACATGTGGACACACAGCATGGAATAACAGACACTGGAGATTTGGAAGGGTGGGAGGCGGGAGGGGATGGGGGATGAGAAATTACTTAATGGGTACAATGTGCATTATTCTGGTGATGGTTACACTAAAAGCTCAGACTTCACCCTAGGCAATATATCCATGTAACAAAATTGCACTTGTACCCCTTGAATTTACACAATTTTCCCCCTAATGCCATATTTTCTAATATCAATTGGAAACAAATCAAATAACAGAATGTGCATGAAAAAGTGTGGTATTTTCCAATAATGGAATGTAACACAGCAGCAAAAAAACACAAAGGGTGTTTTAAATTCCTTGAGACATCACCAAACTGCTTTCCACAGTGGCGGAACTAATTTACATTCCCATCAGCAGTGTATGAGTGTTCCCTTTCCTCCACAACCTTGCCAGTATCTGTTTTTTTTTTTTTTTTTTTTTTTTGACATTTTAATACTGGCCATTCTGACTGATGTGAGATGGTATCTCATTGTGGTTTTGATTTGTATTTCTCAGCAATCCCACTATTGGGTATATACCCAAAGGAATGTAAATCTTTCTACCATAAAGACATGCACGTGTATGTTCATCACAGCGCTATTCACAATGGCAAAGACACAGAATCAACCTAAATGCCCATCAGTGGTAGACTGGATTTAAAAAATGTACATATACACTATGGAATACTATGCAGCCATAGAATAGAATGAGATCATGTTCTTTGCAGCAACATGGTTGGAGCTGGAAACCATTATCGTAAGCAAACTAATACAGGAACAGAAAACCAAACACTGTATGCTCTCACTTATAAGTTGGGAACTAACCTTTGAGTATACATGCACACAAAGAAGGAAACAATAGACCCTGAGGCCTACTTGAGGGTGGAGGGAGAGGACCAAAAAACTACCTATCAGGTATTATGCTTATTACCTGGGTGACAAAATAATCTGTACACAAACCCCCAATTTACCTATATAACAAACCTGCATATGTACCTCTGAACCTAAAATGAAAGTTAAGAAAAAAAAGTAAATCAGAAAAATAAAAAACAAAAAACAAAAATTAAAACACAAACAAAGGGTGGAAAAGGCAACAATATGGCGAACTTCGATACAGCTGGCAGTGCTTGCACCTGTCCTGCCTCTAGCCCTCATGCTCATATCTTCAGTGTCCACAAGCTGGAGTGCACTTTGCCATCTCCATTGCAGGCTGGAAGCCCCGGGAATTGACATTCCTTGGGAAGAGTTCTCAATCTTTGAATGACAGGAGTTGGTAAACCCCAGCTGCCTCGCTGCCTGGGTGAGATAACTCTGAAGTATGTATATGTACACCCTGAGCTTCCCCAGAGAGGCTAAGCTCCAGTTGCCGTCAGTGGTGGTTGGTTTGATAATGCACTTAAAAAAATTCATTTCAATAGTTTTTGGGGTAAGGTGGTTTTTGGGTTACGTGGATAAGTTCTTTAGTGGTGGTTTCTGAGATTTTAGTGTACCTGTCACCTGAGCATTGTACCACCCCCTCCCAACCTCCCCACCGCGAGTCCCCAAAGTCCGTTATATAATTCTTATGCCTTTGCACTTTTATTAAAAAAAAAGAGATGAAACACACATGACACAAATTAATCATTTAAAAAGGAACAGTTCAGTGGCAATGTTGTGCAACCACCACTTTCTAGTTCCAAAACATTTTCATTATCCTAAAAGGAAACCCATATTCATGAAGCTGTTGCTTCTCATATGCTGTGCTTTTGTTGACTGTCTTTCCTTCCCTGTCTCATTTCTCTACCTCCATCCCAAACAATTTGCACTTGAATCCTTGTCCTAAGTCAGCTTTTGGGAGAACCCAAATGAAGGTGCTTGGGAATGTCATATTAGGTAAGAGGAAAAAAAAATTCCAAGAAGTTACATGCAAGTAGATACTCATTTTTTAAGTTAAAAACTAAAATAAAAACATACTTTTACGTATACACATCAGATGTAAAAAAGAGTGTAAAAATGCAAGCAACTACAATGATGACAATATTTTTCATCAACAGAAATTAACCTAGTGAGTTTCGATATTTAGGGTATGAGTGAAAATAAAAATGCAAGCAAGGCATTGATGACTGAGATTCAGGAAGGTGGCAACATGAGGTAAGAGGAGTAGGAAGATGGGCTTAGGAGACCACAGGGTTGGATGTGAGTTGTTGACAGGGTCCTAGGTTTTGTTGTTGATGATGAGTTTCTATAAGCTAATGATATTTAAAAAATGACTAATAAAATTATTAAAAGCATAGATCAGAGATAAGAATGTGTCATACCAAATATTATAATGAGCCCAATCTGTGCAAATAAGCAAAACTGACATCAATGGAATTCAAATAAAAAGCGGACAGTATTTAAATTTTCCAAGTCCCATGTGGTAGGCTGAAGAAAGAGTTCTAAAAAGTGTATTTTATGTTGCTTTTACTTGAGAAGGGATTTAATACACTTTTCCTTTATCTTCCCTAGAAGATCATTCAAAAGGTCATAACCTAAAAGCCCATTAATAGGGAGAAGTTATATTAATGAGCACTGTTCTTCATGGCCTATGATGCAGTCATTCAAAAGATCAGATTAGATAGATGTGTCAATATACAGAGATATCCATGCTTCATTGATAAGGTAAAGAAGATATGTTTTATATGATCCTATCTTTGAAGCCAATTTTTTTGTCATATAAAATGTGATAAGTAATTTATTATATATGTTGTATATATGTGTAACCATTTATATATGTATATGAGCATATATAATTATATATTGGAAATAACTTACCCAGTATTGTTAACAATGTTTTTCTATGTGATAGAATTATGAAAAGTTTCTTTTTTCTTTTTTTTTTTTTTTTTGAGACAGAGTCTTGCTCTGTCACCCAGGCTAGAGTACAGTGGTGGGATCTTGGCTTATTGCAAACTGCCTCCCGGGTTCAAGTGATTCTCCTGCCTCAGCCTCCCAAGTAGCTGGGACTACAGGCTGCATGCCACCACACCCAGCTAATTTTTTTGTATTTTTAGTAGAGACAGGATTTCACCATGTTGATCAGGCTGGTCTTGAACTCCTGACCTCGGGTGATCCACCCGCCTCAGCCTCCCAAAGTGCTGGGATTATAGGTGTGAGCCACTACACCTGACTGAAAAGTTTCTATTTTCTAAGTTATGCATATCTATATGGGTTAAATATTTTTAGTCAGAAAATCCAATAAAAATGAATAATAAAAAATTATGTATTCAGTAGATATAGTTCTGTATGTTCTTATATAGTTATTGTGTTGTTATTGTTACTTTGTATAGCTACTCTGTTAGAGTTTGCAAAGTACATCTTCCACTAATTTCTCTTCCATCCATGAGTATGGGTAAATCCACACTGTCTTTTAAATTATGTTGCTTTCATTTCACAGAGCCATATTTTATCACCAATGACTTTTCCTCCCCATTTTAAAAGCTCTTTGAAAATAATTTTTTTTCCCTTCCTGCTTGCTACTTTTTCCACTCTCCTGGCCAAGTGTATGTCCTGTGGTCTAAAGTTGCACATACTGTTTTTTGTTAAGACCAGTTACTATGAAATATGATGTTCATGTGTGACATAGATAAATGTTAACGTCATTGTTGGCCACTCTGTAATTTGATGACAGAGTTCTGGGAGATTCTGTAAGGTGAGAAACTTTCTGCCTCTGACATTTGAAAACCCAGAGAAGTAAGCAATTTTAGAAAATTGAAAACATGAATGACAAGAACAAAAGAAAACAAAACTAAGTTCATTCCTTGGGTCGAGTGGTTATTCTTCCTCACTATGTCTGGGCCGGAAAGATTTCTTCTTCACATGTCCCTTGGCAAACTGTTATCCTTCTGACCTAATTTGGAGACTAGGTGTTCTCCAGTGGCTGAAATGGTGAGGAAATGAGATGCAACTGTATTTTGTTTCAGTTTTGTATGTACTTGGGTACCTTTCTTGCAGTGGGTCATGAGTTTCGGGCATCTTATAGAAAACCTGGGAGCCCTTGGTGCTGAAAAAATTGAGTTTCAGATAGAATGTGCTTTTAGAACTCCTGATTAGAGAATGCTGGGAATACAAGTTTCTTGCTTTGTTTTGAAAGTTCTTTTTCCTCTAAACCACGCAAATGTTTTTTTCAAAAACTTTTCTCATTCTTGATGATGATGATGATTTTTTTGCCTACAAATGGGAACAAAAAAGATTTTTTTCTGCATAAAGAATAAAAGGAATATATATCTTGCTTTGAAAATTTCTCCTAGTCCAATATTTTTTGACACCTTGTGAATTGTAACAGGAGGATTGATTATAAGCAGCTGTAAATTCTCAGTCTACTTAGTGTGCATAAGTGTGCCTTATCCTGCAAGGTAATTTTTACAATGTGGACACTCACGATACCACCTATGACACAGTCTTGCCAAAAATAAATTGACCCTGAATCAATTAAGTCTCTAATTCCAACTGCAATGTACAGAAACTACAGAGGACAGAGGAACATGTAACAATAGCACCACGAGGATGCATTAGCAAATTCCAGACTGTCTTTGATGATTAGAATAATGATTCCTCAAAGATGTCCACGTCCTAATCCCTGTAATCTGTGACTATATTAGGTTATGTGGCAAGGGAGAATTAAAGTTGTAGGTGCAATTAAGATTGCTAATCAGCTGACCCTGAGAAGGGTGAGATTTCTCTTGGATTACCTGGATGAGTTCGGCATAGTCACAAGGATGCTTGTAGATGAAAGAGGGAGGTAGTAGAGTCAATATCAGAGTGATGTCATGTGAGAAAGACTCAACTGCATTGCTGGCTTTGAAGGTGGAGGAAGGGGGCCATGAATTAAGTGGCCTCTAGAAGTTGGAAAAGCAAGAAAATGGATCCTCCTCTGTAGCCTCCAGAAAAGAACACAGCTCTGCTGACATCTTGATTTTAGCCCCTTGACATCTGTGTCAAATTTCTGCTCTCCAGAGCTGTAAGATAATACATTTGCGTTGCTTAAGCCGTTAAACTTGTGGTCACTTGTTGCAGCAGAAATAGGAAACTAAAATATGACCTGTTTATTTCAACAAAGAAAACGCGTATCTAAAATGGAGATGGTAGTTGATGCTGTCGGTGCCTCCCCATAGTCGGTACTGGAGGTCAGCTGCACACTGCTTTTGCACACACCAAGGCTTCCTGTGTGTCTGCCTGAGGGTCACTCTGGCTGCTGAACTGTGCTGGCTCTGTCCACAGGACAGGTGGTGAGTGCTGAGAGTTCATGCCCCAGGAGCAACCTTCTGCCAAGGCGGGATGGGAGTTGGTAAATAGAGGCTCCAATTCCCATGCTGGACATTGTCTGCAAGGTCCTAAGTCTCCGAGGATTTCACACCATCTGCCCCAAGTGGCTACTGTTTCTGAAGGTGCACTTTATTGGCTCATATTCCTTCTCTCTGGGTCCTTTCTCTACTTCCTTACCATGTTTTCTGGGACTGCTTCCAAAATCAACTGTTTGCACCCAAATTCTTGTCTGCAGATATGCTTTTGGTGGAGCCCAAACTAAGACAGAGGGGAACCTATGGTTTTATAGAGACTTAAGAGACACAACAGTCTGTCACAATCTTTGGACCTTATTTGGATACTGATTTAAACAAACAAACAAGCAAACAAAATACCTGAAAAGCGTTAATGACATTGATAAGATAACTGGACCAGACATTTGATAATATTAAGAGATGATTGTAGGCCAGGCATGGCGGCTCATACTCATACTCATAATCCTAACACTTTGGGATGCCGAGGCGGGTGGATCACTTGAGGTCAGGAGTTCAAGACCAGCCTGGCCAACGTGGTGAAACCCCGTCTCTACTAAAAATACAAAAATTAGCTGGAGATGGTGGTGGGCACCTATAATCCCTGCTAATTGGGAGGCTGGAGTAGGAGGATTACTTGACCCTGGGAGGTGGAGCTTGCAGTGAGCTGAGATCACACCACTGCACTCCAGCCGGGGCAAGACTGTGTCTCAAAAAAAAAAAAAAAAAAAAAAGATGATTGTATCCCACTGCTGCCACCAATAAAAGAGGTGATTGTCAAATTTTCAAGTGGGATAATGCTATTGTGGTTATGTTAAAACAAATAGTCTTTATCTTTCAGAGATACATTCTGAAATATTCATAAATACATTGATAATTGATACAAGGTTTAGGATTTGCTTCAAAATAATGCAAGAGTTAAAGGAAGAGAGAGTGTAGATGAAAGAATAGCCATGAGCTGATAATTTTTGAAATTGGGAGATGAGTAGAAGAGGGTTATGACACTATTTGTCCTACTTTTATATATGTTAGACATTTCCACAATAAAAAGTGTAGAAATGCCCACTTATCTAAACACTCTGCCTTTGAATCAGGCTGTGTGCGCACCATTGAGCAAGAGTAGTTTTGACTGCTCTTTGGGTTTTGGGGTGGACTTTGAGATCAGATCAACCTGTATTCCAGTCTGATCCTGGTTTATCTTGGATGGTCAGTTGTGTGTGGGGTTGGGACAATCCAGGGGACTGGAAAGTGGGGGATGGAGGAGAGTCTCTGGGAAGGAGATAATTCCAAACAAAGGATGCTTCATGACTAAAGATATGGACGCGAAAACAGACAGGAAGAACAAAGCTTCAGGCTGGGAGATTGATTTGGGGCTGCAAGGCTATATCACTCTGGGCTCTCCAGAGAAATTGAACTAATAGCATGCATGTGTGTGTGTGTATTTACATAGTTATAAATATAACTAGTATGGTTATTTATATATATTGTATAATATGTATACAAAATAGTTTGAGTTTGTGTATATATATATATATACACACACACATATATGTGAGTTGTGTATATATATGTGTATATATGTGTGTGTGTGTGTGTGTATATATATATATATATCCAGAGAGAGCGAGAAACTGATATTTGTTTTAAGAAATTGGCTTATGCAATTATGGAAGATGGCAAGTTGAAAATCTGCAAGGTAGGCAGGCTAGAGGCTGAGAGGAGTTGATGTTGCAGCTTGAGACTGAATGCAGTCTGCAGGCAGATTTCCCTCTTCCTCTGGGAACTTCAGTGTTTTTTTCTCTTAATTCCTTCAACTGATTGGACAAGGCCCACCCATATTATAGAGGTCAATCTGCTTTACTGTAAGTCTACTAATGTAAATGTTAATCTCATCTAAGAAAATACTTTCACAGCAACATCTGATCTGGTATGAGACCAAATATCTGGGTACTGCAGCTTAGCCAAGTTGACATATAAAATTAGCAGTCCCCAGGGGCCATTGTAGTACTCCAGAGAAGATGTAATAAGAGTTTAAACCAGTACATTGGCAGTGACAGTTAAGAGGAGATAGTGGTGGCTCACATCTATAATTCCAGCACTTTGAGAGACCAAGGCAGGTGGATCTCCTGAGGTCAGGAGTTTGAGACCAGCCTGGCCAACATGGTGAAACACCGTCTCTACTAAAAATACAAAAATTAGCCAGATGTGGTGGCACAGGCCTGTAGTTCCAGCTACTTGGGAGGCTGAGGCAGGAGAAGCAATCACTTGAACCTGGGAGGCGGAGGTTGCAGTGAGCTGAGATTGTGCCACTGCACTCCAGCCTGGGCAACAGAGTGAGATTCTGTCCAAAAAATAAATAAGTAAATAAATAAATAAAAAAGAGGGGATAGATGTGAGTGCTTTTGAGGTGTTAGAGTTCACAGCACTGGATGTGGGTAAATGAGTAGACCAAGTTTTCAGTACAGATGCTGGGGTAACATTTAGCAACATGAGAAGAAAGGGGAATCTAGATTATTCCCAGGTGATGACTGAGCAGCTACTGTGTTCCTGGCATGGAGCTGGTTCTTGGGATATGAGAGAGAGTAAGATGGACAAGGCGTCTGCTTCCCTGGAGCATGTGATCCTGCAGGAGAGGCAGACATTGAACAGCCGTTATCAGTGAGCTGAGGGCTATAGGAAGAATGAATGCTGGGGGCGAAGGTATCGACAAAATGAACCAGGTCAAGAGGCTCAGGAATGTCTCTCCCCAGGAAGTGACTGGTAAGCTGAGCTTAGAGGAATAAGCAGGAGTTTGGCCATGAGGAGGGGAAACAGCATTCCAATTAGAGGGAAGAACAGTGAGCAAAAGGTCAGAGTCTGGAAAGAACATAGAGAACTGACAGCTCTTATTTTGTATAGGATATTTGCTTTGAGAAGAAAATAATCATTCTTCTTCTCTTCCCTTGTGTGCAAATGGCATGTGCCTATATTGACCTGACCTAAAGCAAGTTAGGTTTGTGTATTGAAAAGCAGGCCATGTCGTACAGGCCTTCTTCAGGTTATTAAGAAAAGTTATCCTGTAAGGTTGAAATTCAGGATCTTCTACAACTTTACTAACAGACTGACAAGCTTACAAATCGGTAACTGAACCCTAAGTGTATACAGGGATAATTGATTGGGAGGGTAGAAAGAGAGTTCAGCTGGAAGGAGATCAAGGTTCTAGTCCCCACTCTGCTGCTTCCTGGCTGTGTGATTTATTATTATTATTATTTTTGATATGTAGTCTTGCTCTGTTATCTAGGCTGGAGTGCAGTGGTGCGATCCCGGCTCACTGCAACCTCTGCCTCCCAGGTTCAAGCAATTCTCCTGCCTTAGCCTCCCAAGTAGCTGGGATTATAGGCACCCACCACCATGCCTGGCTAATTTTTGTATTTTTAGTAGAGATGGGGTTTTGCCATGTTGGCCAGACTGGTCTTGAACTCCTGACCTCAAGTGATCCACCTGCCTTGGCCTCCCAAAGTGCTGGGATTACAGGCGTGAGCCACCATGCCCTGCCTGTGTGGTCTTGAACAAGTTACTTAGCCTCTCTGGATGCTGAGTTTTTGTGTCAGAAAAATTTGGATATTGGACAAGACCACTTCTAGTTCTAGGATTGTTATGATTCTATGGGTTTGGGTGATGTGCAATAGGAAAAAAATACATGATGTTCTCAGGTAATTCCTCAAACACCAATATTTCTGTATTTGTTAAACATTGGCTCCAGGCAGACTCTGTTTCAGGTGCTGGGGATTTAATGGGGAATAAGAGAGACAAGATTCTGCCTTAAAGGAACTAATTGGGCCAGAGGTAAGAGACAGACAAGTGGCAGCAGATGTACAAGCAGGACAAGTGCAGATTGTGATAAAGGGAGATTGTGTAAAGATAACAAACAGGATGATGTGAGAAGACTCTGTGTGTGTGTGTGTGTGTGTGTGTGTGTGTGTGTGTGTGTATTGGTGGAGAGTATCAGATAGGGCCAATCTGAGAAGCAGCATGGAGCAGAGACTGAGTGATCACAGAGACTTAGCCATCCAAAGAGCTGGGAGAATGCCAGGTGGAAGGAATGGCAAGTGCAAAGGCCCTGAGGCAGCATATAGTTAGCCTGCTGGAGAACAGGGAAGGGGCATATTGTATCAAGAAAAATGAATGAAGAGGAACATGGCTGGAGATGACCAAAAAGTAGCCATAGCCACACATAGCAGGCCTTGTAGCCTCAGTGAGTTGGATTTTATATTTTATTTATTATTAAAAATGTTTTCTCCTCTCAGCTCATACCTATATTTTTTATTTTTTTTTTTTTGAGACAGGGTCTCACTCTGCGCAGGTTGGAGTGCAGTGGCATGATTACAATTCACTGCACACTTGCCCTCCCGGGCCCAAGAAATCCTCCCACCTCAGCCTCCCAAGTAGCTGAGACTACAGGCATGCACCACCATGGCCAGCGAATTTTTTGTATGTACTTGTAGAGATGGGGTTTTGCCATGATGCCCAGGCTAGTCTCAAACTCCCGGGCTCAGGCGATCTGCCCACCTCGGCTTCCTAAAGTGCTGGAATTATAGGTGTGAGCCACTGCACCTGGCCAAAAGTTGGATTTTATTACCAAAAATGAGAATGCACTTAACTGGTGCCTCAGTCAATGGTGGCATTTAACTGAAATGAACTCATACTAGTCCCCCTGCCAAAAGATCCTCTTTCAGTGCTCCCCATCTCAGTAAATAAGCTATTTATGTATTTTACAAATACTTATGTGCCAGGCCCTGTTCCAGGTGCTGAGAATGCAGTGGCAAACAAAGCCAGTGGTCCCTGCTCTAATGGATATATAGGACAATGAGGGAGACAGGCAGTGACTAAGTGAACAAGTAAACAGGTAGCATGCTCCGTGGAAATGAGAGTTATGGAGAAAGATAAAGTAGGATTGAGTTGTGGACATCTTTGGAGGGTGGTTATTCTGCCTGTCACACCCATTTGTGGGGATGGGCATTGCTGATTTATGGTGGGAGGCCAGGGAAAGTGTCTTGGATAAAGAGACACTTGAGGCCTTGTGGGAAGAAGGGAGTGAGCCATGAGGATACCTGGGGAGGTGGTTCCAGGGAGTAGAAGTGGCCAGTGCAAAGACCCCAAGGCATCACTCGGGGAGGGAAAACATAGGGAAAAGAAGCCAGAGAGTTTATGGAGGGCCTTGTATGTCATGGTAGAACTTGGGCCTTGATCCTGAGAAAGATGGGGAACAAATGGAAGGTTGAGCAGAGGAGGAATGGGATCTCGGGTTTCACGGGATGCCACTGGCTTTGGGTGGAGAATAGATGGTGGAGGGACCAGGCTGGACACAGGGAGGCCATGCAGGAGGCTTCTGCAACAGTGCAGGGAGAGGTGGCTTTGACAGGGCAGGTGGGTGACAGCTGTCATTGCCCGTCTTGGTAACCTGGGCTGCTGTAACACATCACTACAAACTAGGTGGTTTAAAACAATAGAAATGTACCCTCACAGTTTTGGAGGCTGGAAGTTTAAAATGAAGGTGTTGTCAGGGCGTGCCCCCACCAAAAACCCTAGGGAGGAATGCCTCCTTGCCTCTCGCAGCTTCTGTGGCTCCCGGCAATGCTTGGCGTCCCTCCACTTGTGATTGCATCCCTCTAATCTCTGCCTTCATCTTCACGTAGACTTCTTCTCCACTGTGTGTGTCGCTGTGTCCTCTCCTCTTCTAAAAGAACACAGTCATTGGGTGAGGGTTCACCTTAACCCATCATGACTTCATTCTAGCTTGACCAATTACATCAGCAAAGACCTTTTCTCCAAATAAAGTCAAAATCAGAGGTCTTGGATGTTAGAATTTGGACATATCTTTTTGAGGAACAGAATTCAATCCATGACATTGCCCAAGCCAGAGTCTTGCGACCCATCCTGGAACCATCCTTCTTCCCTTGCACTGCTCACACCAGCCAGCCCCAAGTGCTGCTGCCTGGGCCAGGGCAATAGCCTCCTGTTCATCTCCTGTTCTCCACGCTGGCCTCCCTGCCCATCTTTTCCCAATCCAGCAGAAAAGCAATCGTTTTAGGGTGAACATCTGATCGTGTCCTCTTGCTTGAAACCTTTCTGTGCATCCCCATTGCTCAGAGAAGAAAGCCCCAAAACCTTCCTTTAATCTTCAGAGCCTTGTGTGATTGGCCCTCTGTGGACTCACCAGGTGCATGCTGAGGTACAGTCCCCTTCTTCCTCCATCCCAGTCCAACCACGTCCTCTGAGAAGTCCTCCCTGGCTTTTCCCAATTTAGGTCATGTCCCCTTTCTTTATGTATCAACATTACAATGAGTTACTTAACCGTGTGAATATCTGTTTGATGTGTATCCCCCACTGGACCTTAAACTCTATGAGACCAGGGACTCTGTCTTGTTTATCCAGGTATCCCCAGAGCCCAGCACCTCGCCTGGCACACAGTAGGTGCTCAGTAAATGCTTGAATGGATGAGTGAGCATCCCGTACTTGATAGTATTCTCATTGACTCTCAGCCCCATGAATGGGCATCATTGTTGCAGACTGATTAGTGCAGTATTTTTGACGACATTTTCCCAGTTTATGGACTTAGTACACAATCAACTAATAATTGCATTGTTAGTTATCCAATTATTTGTTCAACGACCATTCCCTGGATAGAATGTAAATGTCACAAGGTCCTCTGTTCACCATTATTATCCCCAGCATGATGCTGGGGGCACACGGGACATTATTGATGAGGGTGGGTAAATGGATGAATGAATGAATGAACCGTGCCCAAATCTAGGCCGACAACATGCATTTTTGCCCACACTCATCACTCATAGGCTCCATGTCTATCCCAGCCTCCCCTCTAGTATTCGTTTCCTACTCCTGCTGTAAAAATGACCCCAAATATTATTATCTTGCAGCTCTGCAGGTCAGAAATGGGCCTCCCTGGGCTAAAGTCAAGGTGTGAGCAGGGCTCTGTTCCTTCTGGAAGCTCTAGGGAAGAATCAATTTACTTGCCTTTTCCAGCTTCTGGAGGCTACCCGCATTCCTTGATTCATGGCCTCTTTCATTTTCAAAGCCAGCAATGGCTGGTCGAGTCTTTCTGATATCATCTCACTCTGCCACTGACTCTCCTGCCTCACCCTTTACCCTTTTTTTTTTTTTTTTTTGAGACAGCATTTTGCTTCGTAGCTCACTGCAGCCTCAACCTTTCTGGCTCAAGTGATCCTCCCACCTCAGCCATTCTCCCACCTCATCCTCTCAATTATAGTCTGGAGTAGCTGGGACTATAGGCATGTGCCACCATGCCTGGCTAATTAATTTTTTATTTTATTTTTTAAGAGATAGAGTTGCACTATTTTGCCCAGGCTGGTCTGGAACTCCTGGGCTCAAGCGATCCTCCCACCTGGCCTTCTCTAAGTGCTGGGATTACAGGCATGAGCCACCATGCCCAGCCTGCATGGACTCTTGTGATTACATCGGTCCCATCCAGATAATCCAGAGTCATCTCCCTATGTTGAGGTCAACTGACGAGCAACCTCGGTTTCACCTGCTCCCTTAATACCTCCTCGCCCTGTCACCCAGCATATTTACAGGTTCTGGGGATTAGGAAGTGGACGTCTTTGGAGGGTTGTTATTCTGCCTGTCACACCTCTTTAATTTTCTTATTGTTTGAATAAAGCCTGCAGTCACGGTGTGTGCAGTGGGAAGAGAGAAGGGGGAAGGGGAAGGGCTCACCATGTATAGGGAGGACCTTTGTCAGTAGATCACACTTGAATGTGGGGTCATTGTCTAAAGCATTAGACTCAGCTTCAAGAGTCGATCTGTTTCCTGCTTTGCCAACCCAGACATGGCTATCCCTTAAAGAGGACTGAATATGTATGAATCAATGGCTGGGATTTGTTTTCCCACTGAGTGTGGAGCCTGTACCCCTGCCAGGGTAGACAGCGGGATGGTGCTCATGTCCCAGTGATATGTGGGAGTGAAGGCGCCCTTCCCTCCACTAGCCTCCCAAAGTAAATGGAGGCCAAACCTCTGCCTGATTTATCTCTTCTCCTTGATCCTCCCTTGCCTGCCCTCGGGTTTGAAACTCAGAAGGGAGAAAGAAGAGCCTGAACTTTCAGCACAGCTCTACTGCTCACAAGCTGTGGGACCTTCAGCATGTCGCCTCCTTGCAGCCACCCTGCTTTTCTGTAAATTGGGCATGATGAGAACACCTGCATTGCAGGCCTGTTGGGTGGATTAGACAAGGAAGGCATCTGCAAAGCACTTTGATATACTGTGCATACAGTAGGTGCTCAATAAATGCTTGCTCTTGTGCCCTTGCCCTATTCCGGCCATGACTTTACTTTGCATTACTCCATACCAGTCTCAGCTCTGCTATTACAGACAGAATGCCATTTTGAACTTGTCTTCAAGCTCATTAAAGAGTGTGCAGGCCAGTTGTGGTGGCTCACGTCTGTAATCCCAGCACTTTGGGAGGCTGAGGCAGGTGGATCATGAGGTCAGGAGTTTGAGACCAGCCTGGCCAACATGGTGAAACCCCATCTCTACTAAAAATATAAAAATTAGCTGGGTATGATTACCAAATCCCAGCCATTGATTCATACATATTCAGTATGGGTATGATGGCAGGTGCCTGTAATCCCAGCTACGCGGGAGGCTGAGGCAGGAGAATCATTTGAACCCTGGGAGGTGGAGGTTGCAGTGAGCCGAGATCATGCCACCACACTCCAGTCTGGGTGACAGGGTGAGACTCCGTCTTAAAAAAAAAAAAAAAAAAAAACCAGTGTGCAAGACTACAATATGTTCTAAGAAGCAGCGACTGAACTTTGATGCAGGTCCAGCACTTGTACCAGGCAGGCAAATTTGGCAAACACTCGGCAATAGCCTTAGTGGAGCTGCAGACACCCTTGGTCCAGCTTGAGGGCAGATCACCAAACCGGATCACGTCCCAGTAAGTCCTAACTAAAGATGCTCCCATCGGACTCACATACAGAGTATTTACTCAAGGAGTGTTTGCTGAACACCAACTCAGCGCCGGGCACGCGGGCTCGGTGGTGGAGATGACATCATTCCGCCTGGGTGGCTGTGCTGCCTGGGAGATAACTCATAGGCCATATGCACAGCTTGGGAGCACAGGAAGTCCTTTTACAGAACTTTCCACATTTTAGGAGTGAAGGATGATAGGAATGGGGCTTTGAAGCCCTGAGCCCTTAATAGGCAGAATCCTACATGGTGTTTACTTCACCCTCAGGCACCCCAGCCTCACTTAGCAGTGTTGCAATTAACACAATACCACTGTCAGAATAACCTCTAACCACAGCCCCGGCTACATCGCTCACCTCCTTGGTGGCTTCTCTCTACTCGTAGGATAAACCCAAGCTCCTTAGCCCTGAGGACTCCTTACAGGGTCCTCCCCAGCTGGGCACCCACCCACCCTCACTGCTATGCTCTGAATGTTTGCGCCCCATCCCTAATTTCTATGTTGAAATCCTTACCCTCAAGGTGATGGTATTAGGAGGTGAAGCTTTTGGGAGGTGATTCAGTCATGGAGGTAGAGCCTTCTTGAAAGGGATAAGTGCCTATGAAAAATGGATTCCCAGGAGGTGCCTTGTTCCTTCCACCACGTGAGGACACAGTGAGAAGGCGCCATCCACAAGCCAGAAAGCGGTCCTCACCAGACACCAAATCTGCCCTCATCTTGGACTTCCCAGACTCCAGAACTGTGAGAAGTAAATTCTTTTAGCCAGGTATGGCGGCTCATGCCTGTAATCCTTGCACTTTGGGAGGCCAAGGTGGGTGGATCAGCTGAGGTCAAGAGTTCGAGACCAGCCTGGCCAACATGGTAAAACCCCGTCTCTACTAAAAATACAAAAATTAGCCAGGCGTTATGGCTCATGCCTGTGGTCCCAGCTACTTGGGAGGCTGAGGCAGGAGAATTGCCTGAACCTGGGAGGCAGAGGTTGCAGTGAGCTGAGATCATGCCACTGCACTCCAGCCTGGGCAACAGAGTGAGACTCAGTCTCAAAAATAAATAAATTCTTTTTCTTTATAAGCTACTCAGTCTGAGGTATTTTGTTATAGCAGCTCAAATGGACTAGTTGGAAAATCTCTCTTAGCTTCATCCCTCTTTTCCACTCCTAGCAGCTAGAGTTTCTCTAATCTCCTCAAAGGCTGCATTTTCTCTCTCTCCTCTTAACCCTCTCCTTGGCTAGTCCCTCTGCCTTGAGCACTGTTCCCTCCCATCCTTTGCCTAGCCAACTCCAATCATCTTTAGGCTTCAGCATAAATCTCACTTCCTCCTGGAAGCCTTCCATGATACCTCCATGCTAGGTCGTCCTCCTGTGCCCTCCAGATGGCCCTGAGCTCTGTCTTTTCCAGAACTCATCACTTTGAATTATACCTGCCTCATCCCTGTCTGTCTTCCAGGAAGACTGGAGTCTCCTGAAGGTTGAAGCAGAGTCTGATTTGCTCTCGGTTGCATCTGCAGTGCCTGTATTAGTTTCCCAGAGCTGCAGTAATTAAATATCAAAAACTGGGTAGCTTAAAACCACATAAATTTATTCTCTTACAGTTCAGGAAGCCAGAAGTCCAAAACCAAGATGTCAACAGCATTAGTTTGTTTTGTGGAGCTCAGAGGGAAAATTTGTTCCATGCCTCGTCCTCATCCTCAGCTTCTTGGGAAGTTCTTGGTGTTTGTGTTTTTTTTTTTTTTTTTTTTTTGCTTGCAACAGCATCACTCCACTCTCTGCCTCTGTTTTCCCATGGTCCCTGCCCTGTGTGCCTTTCTCTGTCTTCTTTTAAGGACAACAATCATTGGACTTAGAGCCCACCCTAATCCAATATGACTTTATATTAACTGGATTATATCTGCAAAGACACTATTTCCAAATAATTTCACATTCATAAGTGCTGAGGGTTAGGACTTGAACATATCTTTTCAGGGGATAATATTTAACTCACAACACTGTCTACTTCATCTGTTCATTGTAAATATTTGATGAATGAATGACTGAATGCAGAAAGAAACAAACAGGTTGCCTAGGAGTCCCTCTTTTTTGAGGAAATGTTGAATCTGTGTTGTCACATAAAAGAAAGAATGTAGAACAGGAAAAAGAAATGTACAAGAGAATTTAGATTAAAGCACGCATTCACACACACACACACACACACACACACACACACACACACACACCCTTGCCAAGCGCAGCTGTGGGCTGGACAGGGGAGTGGTGGCCCTGGGCGGGATGCTGGGTAGCCATTCTCCCCCATCCCTTCCGCCCTCTACCTGTCCACCAGGGCCACGCTGTGGTGGGGCCCAGGCACCATTTTATTAGTTGTGATCCACTGTGGTTAATTCTCTTAATCTAGACTTACGTGCCCATAAAGCCCAGACCTCAGGTATTGGATTTCCCTGATCAAAGGGCGACATGTGGGGGGCGCTGCCCAGGAGGGCTCAGCAAGGCTCGTAAACATGGCCCGGGGGACACACACACACACACACACACACACACACACACACACACACTCCAAAAGATGGGCCGATCAATGGCTGGGGTGATCCCGTGTGAAATATGACTGCCGCTTAAATGCAGCTTCTGGGATTTATGGCCGGGTATTAATCTACCCTGCTTAATGCCTTGACCTCTGCCCTCCAGCAATTCAGGGGACGGTGCCAGTGAGGCCAGAAGCTAATTCCATGGATTAAAGCAGAAGGAGCCCCCAGCATTTGGAAGTGTCAGGGACAGTTTAAGCGCTAGCAAAGTGTCCCAGCTCTCCCTATTAATGGTGGCTGGGAATGGTTGGGTTTTTCAAGCAGGCAACACACAGAAGGATCGTAGAGGAAAGGACCTTTTGGTAAATGCAATCAGTTTCCTTCTCTAGTCCAGGCCTGTATGTACTTAATTCCTCTCTCTTCCTAGCCTCCAGGACTCTGCACATCAATTTCTTCCTAGAGTACACTTTGCTTTGTGCATAGTCAGGTTGCACCTTAAATGCCACCTCCTCCAGGGAGCCTTCCTAGCCCCTATGCCTTGTTAATGCTGCTCACTTGACCCTGAATAGCCTCAGAATTGTCACTCATTTTTCTAGTCTTATTCATCCACCAAATTAAACTTCTGAGGGCAGGAACTGAGTTGTCACCTAAACCTCCTAGAGAGCCAAACTCATTGTAAAAACTCAACCAATATTTATTATACGAGTGAATCAAAAGAATTCAAGCAACAACTAAGACTACAGTTGATTTTTTTTTTTTTGAGACAGGGTCTTGCTCTGCTGTCCAGGCTGGAGTGCAGTGGCTCTATCACAGCTCACTGCAGCCTCGACCTGACAGGGTCAAGCAATCCTACCACCCTCAAGCAGCTGGGAGTACAAACATTCACCGTCAGGCCTGGCTAATTTTTAAAATTTATTTGTAGAAATGGGGTCTTGCTATGTTGCCCAGGCTGGTCTTGAATTCCTGGACTCAAGCAATCCTCCTGCGTTGGCTTCCCAAAGTGCTGGGATTACAGGTATGAGCCACTGTGCCCAGCCCAGTTGATGGCTTTGAGGGATAAAATACTTGCATTTGGTGTGTTAAGACTTATGACCATACATGTCCTCATCCTCCCTCTGAGCCTCAGTTTCCTCTTTAGTAAGACAGGACTAAGAGTAGTACTAATTACACACCACCATCATTTGTTCAGTTATTCCACAGGTGTTTATTGAGCACTTTGTATGTGCAGGTGCTGATCCAGAATGGGGACAGAGCAATAAACAAAACAGACAAAACCCTTGTCCTGGTGGACAATGACATTCTGGTTGAGGGGTGACAGAAAATATATGAGCCAGTGTTAAGTGGTGAGGAAGAACAACAACAACAAAAAACAGAATTGGGGAATGAAGATTTAGGTGGAGAGTTTGGGATTTTGGATAGGTGGCTAGGGAAAGTCTCATTGACAAGGTAGTAGCTTTTGTTATTTTTGTTTGTTTTTATTGTTATGGATCTTAATATTTAATTTTTTAAAATTTTAATTATGGATACATAATAGTTGTACATATTTATGGGGTACATGTAATGTCTTGATACAGGCATACAATGTGTGGTGATCAGTTATTTCTTTGTGTTAAGAACATTCTATTCTTTTAGTTATTTAAAAATATCCAATAAATTATTAGCTATAGTCACCATATTATGCTACTAAATACCAGATCTCTCTCTCTCTCTCTCTCTCTCTTTCTCTCTTTCTCTCTTTCTCTCTCTCTCTGATGGAATCTCACTCTGTCACCAGGCTGGAGTGCAGTGGCATGATCTCGGCTCACTGCAACCTCTGCCTCCTGGATTCAAGCGATTTTCCTGCCTCAGCCTCCTGAGTAGCTGGGATTACAGGCATGTGCCTCCACGCCCAGCCAATTTTTTTTTTTTTTTTTTTTTTTTTTTTTTTTGTCCGGCCAATTTTTGTATTTTTAGTAGAGATAGAGTTTCCCCAGGTAGCCAGGCTGGTCTCGAACTCATAACCTCAGATGATCCACCTACCTGGGCCTCCCAAAGTACTGGGATTACAGGCATGAGCCACCGCGCCCGGCCTAGATCTTATTCTTTCTATCTATTTTTTACCCATTAACCGTCTCCTTTTAATACCCCCCTCCCACTACCCTTCCCAGCCTCTGGTAACCATCATTCTACTCTCTATTGCCATGAGTTCAATTTTCATTTTTTTTTTGGCTCCCACATATGAGTGAGAACATGCAATATTTGTCTTTCTGTGTCTGGCTTATTTCATAATGTCCTGACATTTAACATAATGTCCTCCAGTAAAGACTAGGAAGTGAGGGAGAGAGACGTGTGACTATCTGGGCATTCCAGGCAGAGAACCGCCAGCGCAAAGGCCTGAGGCAGGACCCTGCCTGGTGTGTTTGAGGAAGAGCCAAGAAGCTAGTGGGATGTAGAGGGAGTGATGAGGAAAGAAGGAGGGATGAAAGACAGAGACTATCTGAGATTAAAATCAGTTAATATATATGAATTCCCAGCACTGGAATTAACTGAACCATCGTCCATTCATACAAGAGAGTTCTATACAACTGTTAAAAGGAATGAGGTAGATGTGTATGGGCTGATACAGGTATATCTCCAGCGGGCAGATCTTCAAGGTATAATTTTATTTTTTATTTTTTATTTTTTATTTTTTGAGACTGAGTCTCACTCTGTCCCCCAGGCTGGAGTGCAGTGGCATGATCTCGGCTCACTGCAACCTCTGCCTCCTGGGTTCCAGCAATTCTCCTGCCTCAGCCTCCCGAGTAGCTGGGATTATAGGCATGTGCCACCACGCCTGACCATTTTTTTTTTTTTGTATTTTTATTAGAGACGGGGTTTCACCATTTTGGCCAGGCTGGTCTCGATCTCCTGACCTCAAGTGATCTGCCCACCTCAGCCTCCCAAAGTGCTGGGATTACAGGCATGAGCCACCACATTCTTAAATATTTTTAGAAACACATGTATATTAAAAATACTGTGTGAGTAAAAAAACCTCCAAACCCAAAAGAGCATATTTATGTGTGTCTATACAGCTGTAGATAAATGCACAAGAGAATGTCTGGAAGAACACATACTAAAATGTGGACAGCGTCCAAATCTGGAGAGGAGGTGGGACTGGGGGAGAAAAAAGAGGGCCTGAACTATTTTACTCTTTATGCTTCTATATTATTGCTTAAGGTTTTCACAACAACCATGTACTTGCTTAAAGGATGCATTTATTTAAAAATTTTAGTAATCCTTTATAGGAGCAACAAGACAGAGAAGAGAGAGGGACTCACTTTTTTTTTTTTTTTTTTTTTTTTTTTAATTTCACCTTCTCAGGTGGATCAGAGAGCCTGGCGATCCACCTAGCCATCCTGGAATTTTAGTGGAATGTGCATTCCACTTGAGAAAGTTGTGGAATCATGAATCAGAAGCTGGTTGTGGAAAGAGCCCTTTGTTGGAGTTACCAACAAAAAGTCTATGGCATTTCGCATTATTTGCCCACAAGAGCAAAATAAGGGACTGGAATTTTGTGATTAATTCCAGGCCTATCAGCAGCTTGGGGAGACTGATTCTCTGAAAGCCAGTGGTGTTTATTTCCATGGAAGGGTCTGCCTACAGATTTAGGCAAACTCACCCTAGGGAGTCAGACAAAACAGGAACATGTCAATATTTTATGAAGATACAGAGAGCTCAATGCCTGTAGACCTTCAGGCTATTCTTTAGTCTTTGGGAAGGGCTGCAGGGTGATCTCTTTGGTAGCCCCCTTAGCATTGATTCCCTCTTTTCATTGCTGGGCAGCAGCCGCTAGAGTGGAAGGACACAGCTCATATTTAGCTGCAGGGTTGGACTCTGACAGGCCCAAATCACACTGGGCCAGTAATTCCATCCCTCTTCCTGGCGATTGGATTAGATTGGGTGTGTAACGAAAAGGGTCAAGTCTGAGTAAGGTTTAGGATTTTTCTTGTTGACTTCAGGAATATCCAGTTTTAGGATGAAGACGACACTATGTAAGGCAGTCAGAGAAGAATCCTGATGACAGCATTAAGTGCCTGGATCAAGCCACACCTGAATCCTTCCCTTTTCTCTTTATTGTTTAATTTTACTTCCTGTTATCTTAAACCAAAAGATTACTCAATGACACAGCTTGACAACTGAGATTCAGAATGCACGTTGGTAGCAGTTCTTTTCTATTTCTTAATTGTTGGGGAAATTAAGAAGGAAAATCATCCTTGTCCAGGAGTCTGGGGCATCAATTCTTGCTCAACCTGTGCTATTAACTTACTGTGTGACTGCATGTCATTTCTTCTATGTGACTTTCAGAGGACTCTCCTCTAAAATAGAGAGTTGGGTAGAGAGGATCTAGAAAGATCCTTATAGAGTTAACACTTTATGACCTTCTAAGTCCTCAAGGGGTGTCATAGGACATGTTGACACACCAACAGAGAACCTCCTAAGGTCTATGTGAAACCCCAGATGGGGCCTAGAAAAAGCTGTAACTGTGTCATGGTGGTCTGGAGTTTGAATGATCCCTTTGGTTTGGAGACAGGGAGCTGTCACCCTATATATTGGGAAGCTGGGATGATGCTGGTGGTGGAGGCAGTCGAGCTGGGTTTAACACGGCAGAGGGAACCCAGGCTGGGGCCTGCCCTGTTGGTAGGTGAGGTGTGTGTGACCAAAGTCACACTCTTTAATGATTTTCTCTATGTGATCCTCAATTGACTATTGATGTTTTAATTGTGTATTCATATGGCTTTCTATATTTTATCAGAGCCCAGTAGCCTTTGAAAAACATGATTTTTGGAGAAGGAGCTCAGAAACATGAACATCTCTCCATCCCATTCCCCTTTCTGGGTGGTGTGGGTGGCTATTTTAAAGTTGGGCTTGAGATGCTTTGCCACAGTCATTCAGACACACTTGGGTCTATCTGGAAAATGATAGGAGGGACTTCCAGGAAGTTTGTTGGAATGAGTGACAGAGGGGCCTTCTTGGACAGGATGGGGAGGGTACAATGCCTCCTGGGAGCGTATGGCTGATTCTGGCTGGGGACCCCATGGGCTGGAAGCCTGGCCTGGCCCCCAGGAGACTTGGGGAAAACAAGTGTTGTGGACTGAATGTTTGCATACCCTCAAAACTCATATGCTGAAGCCCCAGCCCCCTTTGTACTGGGATTAGGAGATGAGGCATTTGGGAGATAATCAGGCTTAGGTGAGGTCATGAGTATAGGCCTTCATGAGGGTATTAGTACCTTTATAAGAAGAGAAAGAGACACTGGAGCTTCCTTTCTCTACCAGGCAAGGACACAAGAAGATGGCTGTCTACAAGCCAGGAAAAGATTCTGCACCAGGAACTGGATCAACTGGCACCTTGATCTTGGACTTCCCAGCCTCCAGAACTATGAGATGAGAAATAAGTGTCTATTGTTTAAGCCTCCCAGTCTATGGTATTTTGTTATAGCAACCCAAGATGACAAAGACAACAAGCCTAAAATGAAAAATGGCAAAGTAACCAAGATGTCCTTCAAGAGGTAAGTGGATAAACAAACTGCAGGACATCCACACTGTGGAATGTTATTCATCAATCAAAAGTGACATGGCAAGCCATGAGAAGCCATGGAGAAAATTTAAATGCATGTTTCTAAGTGGGAAAGATCAAGATGAAAAGCCTACGTATAGGATGGTTCCAACTATGTGACATTCTGGAAAAGGCAAAACTATAAAGACAATGGAAAGAATAGTGGTTGCCAGAGGGTTGGGAGGAGGGAGAGAAGGGTAAATAGGCAGAGTACAGGGGATTTTCAGGGCTGTGAAATTATCCTGTATGATACCATAATGGTGAATACTTGTCATTCCACATTTGTCAAAGCTGGCTGGGTGCAGTGGCTTGCGCCTATAATCCCGGCACTTTGGGAGGCCAAGGGGGAAGGATGGCTTGAGGCCAGGAATTTGAGACTAGCCTGGGCAACATAGGGAGATCCCATCTCTACAAAAAATAAAAAATTGGCCTGGTGTGGCGGTGCATGCCTTTAGTCTCAGCTACTTGGGAGGCTCAGATGGGAGGATCACTTGAATCCAGGAGTTCGAGGCTGCAGTGAGCTATGATTGTGCCTCTGCACTCCAGCCCAGGTGACAGAAGTAAGTAAGTAAGAAACAGAGTGAGACCCTGTTTCTTAAAAAATGAACAACAAGAAAACAGCAAAAAAAAAAACTTTGTCATAGCTCACGGAACTGTACAACACAAAGACTGGGCCCTAAAGTAAACTATGGACGTGTATCAGTATTGGTTCATCAATCACAACAAATGCACCACAGTAATGCAAAGGTATTAATAACAGGGAGGTGTGGGAGGTGAGATAGGGAGGGGAGTATATGGGAACCCTCTGTACTTTCTGTGTGATTTTTCTGTAAACCTAAAACTCCTCTAAAAAATAGTCTATTGTCAAAAAATATGCCAGAAACCATGTCCTCTAAAAATGTTCAGCCACAGGTAGGGCAATTTGTATGCTCCTGTGACAAAGTATAGCACAACACTCACACAACGACAACAACAACATCCTGCATGGGACTCATTCTAATCTCCACATATGGAATGCACTAGAGGCATGATCTACACATTTTTTATTCTATACCATTATCAGTAAATTTGTTTTTGCACATGTACTGCCAATGCATGTACATCTATTTATGTTTAACTATATCCATGAATGACTGTATTAATTTATTGCATGCTGTCTTGGTTCACATTCCTCTTATAACAGGGCCTGTAACAATTGCTTAGGTACAGATAGCTTATTGAAGGTGGTCCCAGGTAGCAAGAGTGAGGCAGTTGGGGTAAGAGATACAGGACAGAGGCAAATCAATATAATAATGGGTTACTGAGTGGGTTGTCACTGTGGACACTGGGCTTGATTTTTTGTCTCCTGGAATTCTCTGTCCAGAGAACAGGAAGCTAAGGTGTTTATCTACCTGCTTCCGCCTCCCACCAGTGGAGCTTTGCCCCCCGGGACTGTCCATGTCCCTGCACTTCTGGGGCTGCACAGGTGGAACAAGCGCTACAAAAAGCCAAAGCCCTGGGGCACAAGGCAGAAAGTTGAGTGAGTCTGGGGTGGGGCATTGTCAAAGCAAACCCAGCTTAATGCAAACATCTACTGTGGTTGCAGCCAAAACTGCGGTGAGCCAAAGGTTTGTGACATATGGCCCCATGGTGTCTGCTGCATTATAAATACACAGGATACACAAAACCAGAACTTGAACACCACAAATCCCAAATCCAAGTGCTATTATTTTCCTGCTTCCCAGTGGATCATTTGGCACTTCCTTGGAGCTTGTGCACCTTACTTTGCAGATCTACTCTGAACAACACTGTCAGTTTCACCATCCTAGAACAGAAGTGTTGGTTAAAGTAGAAGTCTTTTCTTTTTCCCTTTTAGGGGAGCTCATTGGGTATTTAACAAAATATATTTGAAAGACAGTGAGATACCGCTACACACCTATTAGAATGGCCAATATCCAGAGTACTGGCAATACCAAATGCTGGTGAGGATGTGGAGCAGCAGGAACACTCATGCATTGCTGGCAGGGATGCAAAGTGGTACAGCTGCTTTGGAAGACAGTGTGGCAGTTCCTTACAAAACTAAACATACTTTGACCATACAGTCCAGCTATTGTGCTCCTTGATATTTACTCAAAGGACTTGAGAACTTATGTCCACACAAAAACCTGCACACGGATGTTTATAGCAGCTTTATTCATAATTGCCAAATCTTAGAAGCAACCATGATGTCCTTCAGTAGGTGAATGGATAAATAAACTGGTACATCCAGACGATAAAATATTATTTAGCACTAGAAAGAAATGAGCTATCAAGACATGAAAGACATGGAGGAAACTTACATGCGTATTATTAAGTGAAAGAAGCCAGTCTGGAAAGGCTGCGTATTGTATTCTTCCCACTATGTGACATTCTGGAAGAGGCAAAACGATGGAGGCAGTGAAAAGATTAGTGTTTGCCAGGGACTTGGGGAGGGAGGGATAAATAGGTAGTGTATAGAGGATTTTCAGTGCAGTGAAACTATTCTGTATGATACTAAAATGGGAGATACCTGCCTGTATTAGTTTCTCATGCTGCTAATAAAGACATACCTAAGACTGGGTAATTTATAAAGGAAAGATATTCAATGGAGTCACAGTTCCACATCACTGGGGAGGCCTCACAATCATGGCAGAAGACGAAGGAAGAGCAAAGGGATGTATTACATTGCGGCAGGCAGGAGAAGTGGTGCAGGGGAACTCCCATTTATGAAACCTTCAGATCTCGTGAGACTTACTACCATGAGAACAGTATGGGGCAATCTGCCCCCATAACTCAATTATCTCCACCTGCCCCTGCCCTTGACACGTGGGGATTCTTGCAATTCAAGGTGAGATTTGGGTGGGGACACAGCCAAACCATATCAATGTCATTACACATTTGTCTAAACCCATAGAATGTACAACACCAAGAATGAACTCTAATGCAAACTGTGGAGTTTGTTTGGTAGTGATTTGTCAGTGCAGGTTCACTGATGGTAGCACCTGCACCGTCTGGTGAGGGATGTTAGTAATGAGGGATGCTGTGCATGTGTGGGGGAAGAGGGTGTATGGGAAATCTCTGTACTTTCTTCCCAGTTTTGTGAACCTAAAACTTCTCTAAAAACATAAAGTCTACTTTTTAAAAAAAAAAAAAAACTATTGAGCCAACACTAACATCAGAAAATTTCATATAACAATCTCAATTTCTTAACTTGAAAAAGTGGGATTTGGTCTACCACACTGGACTTCTAGTCCCATAGGATTGTTGAGAGGATGCAATGAGATGGTCTATGTAAAGTGCTTGGTGCATACTAGGTACTCCATAAATATTAAGGCTTAATTTATTTTAAATCCGTGGGGTGTGTTATCCTTATTGAGAATCATTTGTGAATAACTACAGTGTGCAGGGCTTCCACTGACATTATCTCATTCCATGCTCACAGCCACTCATAGTCCGGCTCCATTAATAGCATGGTCCTAATTGGCACCAAATCAACAGAAGGTGATTGGGGTTGGATTTTTTAGATGGGGCAACATGGTTTGCTGCAATCCCCATCACGCCACTGTGTAAGGTTATGTATTTATACTGAGATGCTGGCTTCATAGGCTTGTGTTTCTCATTTGGTGCTGAGCTAGGAGGAGAGGACAGACACTTAAAAAGGCAATGCAAGCATCTCCCTCCTCTTACTGCCTGGTGGAGACTGTGCCTGGGCTGGGCCCTCCATAGGTAGAATGAGGAGGAGCTCTCCACCCTTCTGTGGCTCTCCAGATTTATTGGGAGCAGCTGGCTGATTGCAGACAGACAGGAGCTTTCCTGGTGGAGGGAAGGACTTGTTGGAGAGAGAAGCTTTGGGATCTCAGACAACACTTACGAAAGTTTGCATTCAGGACAAACTGCATGCTGTCCAGTACAGTGTAATAGCCGCAAGCCATGTGTGGCTATCAGGCACTTGCAGCATGGGGAGTCCACATGGAGATGTGCTGAAGTGTGAAACACACACCGAATTTCAAAGACCTACCAATGACTCAGAATGTAAAATATCTCATGAATGCATTTTTCATGTTGATTGCATGCTGGAATGATACTATTTCTCCCCTATGGAGAAGATGTTTTGGGACAGAAGGCTATTCATGGAGCCGGACTGTGAGTGGCTGTGAGCATGGAATGAGATAATGTCAGTGGAAGCCCTGCACACCGTAAGTATTCACAAATGAAACTCAGTAAAGGATAACACACCTCATGGATTTAAAATAAATTAAGCCTTAATATTCATGGAGTACTTAGTATGCACCAAGCACTTTACATAGACCATCTCATCGCATCCTCTCAACAATCCTATGGGACTAGAACTATTCTCATTTTGTATGAGGCACAGAGAAGCTAAGTATGTTGCCTAAGGTCACACAGCTGGTAGGTGCCAGCGACAGGATTTAAACACAGGTCTGTAGAGCCTCCCTATAAATCCTGGCAGTTGCTGGTGTGTGTCTTGGCAGGGACTGTTAAGAGGTTTTGGAAGGCAATGCATGGCATGGTTTTTTGGTTTTGGATTTTATATGGCATTAAAATGACAGGTGGTTTCATCTAGGTCAATTTAAATAAACTTTTACAAAACAACTTAGGAGCTATTTGTCTCCATTCTGGGACCGTGATGGTGGTGTGTGACACACCCAGAGGAAAGTTCTCTGCCCAAGGTTCTGAAGAGCTGGGTGAATGACTTCCTCACTCCCTTCTCTGGGTTGTGGCCTGGAGGATCTTCTATGGCAACAGTGTTGGTTTCCACCTGAGATCTAGTTTGGGTATTTGGTATCCTACCTCCAGGTGCCAAGTGTGGCTAAGGCTCCTGAGGAGATAGCCAGGGACCTAGGGATTCCCAACCCTCTTGGTTCTCTGGACAACAACTCTGCCCTTTAGTTGTGACTGAGTTGTCCCTTCTGACCTTACATCTGGCCCTCAATGTTGTAGTGGGAAGGCCTGGGGGCTTTCAAGCCACAAGGATGCAAATGGCAGCTCTGCCACTTACCAGCTTGGTAGCTGGGTGAATGACCTGATCTTTCTGACCCTCAGATCCTTTATTTGTAAATTCAGTTGACAGCCATTTTTACCTAATCACATTATAAAAGGCTTTAAAAAAAACGAAAGATCATAGATTCTTAATTCAAGGACACCATCAATGTATCATTCCTTCAAAAAATATTCAAGTGATACCTATGGGCTGGATGCTATTTAAGTGCCAAAGATACAGCAGTGAATAAGGTGGACAAAGCCCCACCTTTTGGGAGTGTACCTTCTGGTTTAGGGAGTCAGACAAGAAAGAAAGGATAAGTATTACAAAGGCAACTAAAGCAGGATCAGGAGTGCTTTTATAAATAAGGTAGCTATGGAAGGCCTCCCTGATGAAGTGACATTTGAGCAGAGACATGTGGGACATGAGGACGCAGTACATGAGCATATTGGAGCAAAGGTGTTCTAGGCAGAAGAGACTGCATGTGCAAAGGCCCTGGGGCGGGTCAGGCTTGGCATATTCAGAGAACAGCAAGGAGCCCCGTATGGCCAAAGCAGAGTGAATGACAGGAAGAGAGGTGGAAGATGAGGTCACAGAGGTCACAGGAGCCTGATCATGTTAACCACAGTAAGGATTCTACTCTGTATAAGACAAGATCAATGGGTGGGTTTTGCATAAAGGAGCAATCTAATCTGACTTCGATTTCATGAAGACAACTCTGGTAATTGTGTGGAGAGTAAACTATGAGGGCACAGGTGGAGGAAGCAGGGCCAGTTATGAGATTACTGCAATAATAATAATTGGCACCAAGTTATTATTGATGTTTTAGAGAAACAAAAAATACGATATACCGGCTGTATGCATCAGTTTTAAGACATAATTGGATTTCAGAAACTTTTTAGAATCAAGAAAGTATGAGACTTAAAAGTTTTTGATTGAAAAGGCTCATACTGGAAACCCACTGTTTGTTTCTTTTATTTGTAAACCTAATCTCATTTGAAGCCAATAATAGGTAGATAGTAATAACCATGTTTTTGTAGCAGCATTTCGGTTACAATCCTAATAATTTTTTTGAGATACGTGTGTATCAATCAAATGATACAGTGACATTTGAGCAGAGACAGGTGGGACATGAGAATGCAATACATGTGAATATTGGAGCAAAGGTATTCTAGGCAGAAGAGACTGCAGGTGCAAAGGCCCTGGGATTAGCCATGCTTGGCATATTTAGAGAACAGCAAGGAGGCCCATGTGGCCAAAGCAGAGTGAATGACAGGAAGATGAGGTTAGAGAGATCCCAGGAGCCTGACCACATAAACCATGGCAAGGATTCTACTTTGTGTAAGACAAGAGCTGTAAGTGGGTTTTTCATAGAGGAGGAATCTGATCCGATTTACATTTTATAAACTCGATTGATACACAGATATCTCAAAAAACAAATTGTTAGGGTTTTATTACTACCCCATTTGACTAGAAGTAGGGCATGTGTTCAGTGATGCATTATTGAATATGAGATTCTTGTTAATCCAATGTTCTGATAAAGAGAGCTTTATACTTGGTAACATCTGAGGAGGATGCTCTAACCCTAGTGACACTGACAACAGTGTGGGAATTGAACCTTAAAAAAAATGATTTGGCCCCATGACAGTCCCTAGATCCTCACGACTCAAAGTGTCATTTGAGAATCAGTGGATTGGCATCACCTAGGACTTAGTCAGAAATGCAGTCTCAGGTGCCAGCCAGGATCTGCATTTTAACAAGATTCCCAGGAGATTTATATGCTTTTTAAAGCATGAGAAGTGCCAGTCTGATTTGAGAGATTTGAAAACCACTGCCCAAAATGAATGGTTCTTGACATTGGCTGCATCTTAGTTTCCCTGTGGTAGACAGGCCCTAAGATGGCCTGAAATGATCTCACCACTGGATATTTATACCATGAGTGTTGGCTGGACCTGTGGCTTGCCCTAGCCAATAGCACATGGCAAAGGGCATGAGATGGCTCTTCTATAATTATGTTGCATAAGATTGTAGCTTCTGTCTTGTTAGCTGCCTCTCTCCCTTGCTGGTTTTGGTGAAGAGGGTTGCCACAATGAGGAGGCTCACATGGAAAATAACTGGGGGCAGTCTCCAACCAACAGCCAGCAAGGAGCTGAGGCTGTCAGTCCTGCAACCTGCAGGAAACTGATTCTTGCCAACAACCTGAGAAGCTTGGAAGTGGATGATCCATCCACGGTTGGGCTTTCAGATGAGATCCCACCTCTGGCCAACGTCTTCATTACAGCCTCATGAGACCGTGAAGCAGAGGCCCCAGCTAAGCCATTCCTGGGCTCCTGACCCACAGAAACTATAAGATAATAACTATGTGTTCTTTGAAGCCCCTAAACGTGGGGTACTTTGCTGTGTTGCAATAGAAAACTAATGGAATCACCTAAGGAACTTGAACAAACACAATAACAACTACCAACATCATTTAATGAGCCCAACTTCTGGCTCATCAAATACGAATTTCTAGGGGTTGGTCCAAGCAGCAATTTTTTTTTTTTTTTTTTTTTTTGAGATGGAGTCTTGCTCTGTCGCCCAGGCTGGAGTGCAGTGGCGCGATCTTGACTCACTGCAACCTCTGCCTCCTGGGTTCACTCCATTCTCCTGCCTCAGCCTCCTGAGTAGCTGGGCTACAGGTGCCTGCCACAACACCTGGCTAGTTTTTTGTATTTTTGGTAGAGACAGGGTTTCACCATGTTAGCCAGGATGGTCTCGATCTCCTGACCTTGTGATCCACCCTCCTTGGCCTCCCAAAGTGCTGGGATTACAGGTGTGAGCCATTGCACCCGGCCAAGCAGCAGTATTTTAAAAACCCTCTCCATGTGATGTTGATGTGCAGCCAGATTTGAGGAGCCCTGCCCCCGATGTTGCTCTTAGGAAACAGTCTCTGACAATTATAGGTTTATTGGGTACTCTCCTTCCCCCTACACCTCCAACCCAATGTGTGGTCATTTGAGCTTTCTGATTGTGCACCCCCTAGGTTAGCAAGAGTTTAATCTTTTCCCCAGCTTTCTTCCCCTTGTCTCACTCTGGGGTGAGGGGATTCTGGTACCCTTTCTGTCAGGAAGTTGAAGGCCTTTGGGAAGATGGCCCACTGCAGGGATGTCTGATGGAGCCATCCATCCATGGGAAAGGCCACTTAGTGCAGAACCCAAGGCCCAAGAGGCCCAAGACTCAGTCCACAGGGGCTTTGAAATTGGAGCTTTCATATCATATTTACACATCTGAAACACATCAGAGGGTGAAGGACAACTGCAGGGTAATGGCCGGGAGGGTATCTGGCAAGAATGAATGTCTTGGGGACTAGATGAGAGACCTATGGTGATGTTCCCGTGACATCTCTCTGGGCCAGAACATTTTGTGGGGGGAGGGAGAGTGGGTTGGATGGCTGACATTGCACAGTCTGATGTTGGGAACACAACCCTGGATACCTCGTGTTCCCTGGCCAGTGGCTTCATGACTCGGCCTGCTATTCCCCTGGCTTATGCTGGGTCATGTTTTCCAAAGATAAGCAGTTAAGGGGCATGTCGGAGACAGAGGATTTATGGCTAGTGAAACTCAACTTCTCTGGCCTGGCTGTCCCCTGACCCTGCCTGGGGCTGCCAAGGCTGACATATGGAAGAATAACGTTTACAAGAGGATTTCCAGGAAGAACAGCAAAGAGGATTTTCAGGAAGCAGTGCAAAGGATGGGTTTATACCCAAGAACTGTGCAATCTTTAGAGCTGGAGAGGGCTTGGAGGCCAATAATTGGGGCTGTAGAGCAAAGTGGTCTAAGAGTGTTGAATCAAACAGCCCAGAATTTAAAACCTGGTTCTGTCACTTGGACAAGTGACTTAACAAACTTTAATGTTCTCATCTCTAAAACGGAAGTAACAGGAATAAATATCATAGAGGGTTGACAGAATGCTTAATTGGGATATAATGTAAGCAAATGTATGTAAATATATGGGAAAAAACAGTGCTCCATAAAAGGTAGCTGTAAACCCACTTTTTTTTTTTTTTTTTTTTTTTTTTTTTTTTTGAGACACAGTTTTACTCTTGTTGCCCAGGCTGGAGTGCAATGGCGCGATCTCGGCTCAATGCAACCTCCGCCTCCTGGGTTCAAGCAATTCTCCTGCCTCAGCCTCCGGAGTAGCTGGGATTACAGGCATGTGCCACCACACCTGACTAATTTTTGTATTTTTAGTAGAGACAGCGTTTCGCTGTGTTGGCCAGGCTGGTCTTGAATTCCTGACCTCAGGTGATCCGCCCACCTTGGCCTCCCAAAGGGCTGGGACTACAGGCGTGAGCCATTGTGCCCGGTCAAACCCGCTTTTTCTTTTTATGGCTGGGGGACCTGAGCTAACCAAAGGGGATATTATATTCTTGGGATGTTATTGGGTGGGGGGGGTGGGGCATACACAATATCCCAGCAGAGGTCTGTCTGTTAGCTTATAACACGTGTGAGCAGCCTACTGCACAGGTTTAAGTTCATATGCATTTGTCTCCCCTGATTAACAAAGAGTTCATCAGGTCATTTATTATCTGTTGTTTCAAAGCTTGTTTGTTAAAGGTCTTTCCAACATGGCCTGATGCCTTGTCTTGTGAAAATACTTGGCCCTCCTTTTTAGTTGGAAAGTTCTTGAGGACAGCTCATTCATCATTCTTAACTGTGGGGTCACTGCCCAACAAGGTATGAACAGTAATTGCTAATAATAGAAATAATCATTGGGATAGGAGTAGTAAGGGCTCACTTTACATAGCATTTTCTATGCACCAAGGACTTCACACGGATTGTTTTCTGTAAGTCTCACAGCTGTCTTGGTGAGTAGGTGTGCAATAATGCCCCCTTTGACAAAACGAGGGAGTTGAAACTCAGGTTGAGGTAAACTTGGCTAAGATTACAGGTGTGAAAAGTGTGACTGACAAGGATAAAATACGGATCCTGATCTATAACAAAGTTCCTGTTAAAAAATAAAATTCCTTATTAGGAATTATGTTAAACCATTGTGTTTTATCCTTTGCTATTTAAGGGTACAGAAACCAGGTTAGAGTTTATTAAAGCTCTTCTTGAAAATGCTCTCTTCTGATTAATCCCTGTGAGTTTATGAGAAGAGTCTTAGCATGAGATGGTGACCAGGATGACACACTCAAGGCAAGGAAGGCTGATAGCCCCAGAGTAGAAGTTGGAGGGAGCAGAAGGAGCCCTGCTTTAGGAGTCAAATAAAACGCAGTTCATGTTCTGGCTTTAGCTCTTAGAATTTATGAGTTCTATGTTTCAGAGCACAGCATTCAGCTTTTCATTGCCTCAGTTTACCCCTTTAAGAAAATGGGATAATCATAATAATTACCTTGAGAGTTGGAGGGAACTATCAAAAGAAGAGAAAGTGCTACTCAAATGTGCAGTGTTAATATTATTCTGTTCCATCTGACTTTCCTGGGGAGTGTGTTCAAGTCATGTATGCTGACCCCTTCCCCACCTTACTCCAACCCCCTAAACTCCAAAAATTCTCCTTATCTTTCTTTTGCTTAAGGAAACAAACAAACAAAACAAAACCCCAAAACCCAGAGCTAAAATATTTGCAAGGACTTCTTTTGCTGCTTGAGCAAGTAAATAAACCTCCTTGACCCAGGTTCTTACCTGTGAAATTGAGCTGAGGTACACTGTGACAACCTCACAAGTCTGTGACAAGTACTGACAGAGGCCGATCATGCAAAACACTTGGCACAGCACCTGGCATCAAGGATGTGCTCAGTAAGTGTTTGCTCTGTGATTAAGGATTGGTCTTTTCCAAAGTTTAGAAGAGCCTGCAAGTCTCACCCTTGCTCTCTTTGTTCTATCTCATTCCTTGTTCTCCACAAGCCCTTTCTCCTTTCTGCCCTCCAGCAATTCAGCCTCCAACCACAGGGCCTTTGCACAAGCTGTTCCCACTGCCTGGCACCCTTCTCCATGCCCACTCTGACTTTTTAAGCTTCTACTCATTGTATTCCAGCCTTCAGTTTAAGGAAGCCTTCCCTGATCAGTCCCCTCTCCTGAACTCTATGGTTAGATCTTTTTGTGAACACTCTTATCACAATGGGTAACTTCTCCTCGGGGTACTTATTTATAGTTTGCAATAATATATTTATATGTATGATCAACTGAGCTATTATTGCTATGATGGAAGAGATACCGTCTGTTTATTCTCCTCTTTGAATTCTCAGAGCCTAGAACAGCTTCTTACACAGAGGGAAGCTCAAAAAATGTTTATTGGAAGAATGAACAAATGAAAGAACAAATGGAGTGATTTTTCTTATTGGGGTCCAGAAGCACAGTGGAACTTGTGACATCCCTGTGTCCTATTTCTTAGCTGAGCAGCTTGAATAGCTTGAAGTCACTTTGCTAGATTTATGCGGCCTTCAACTCCTGTTGTATTTCTGGGAAGCCATGGAGCCATGTCCTCAGGGCAGATTCCCATGGTCCTAGGGGTGGGGAATGTTGGCCACAGCGTTCCCCTCCTTGTGGTCTCGAAAAATATTTCCATGATGGATGGATGCCCCTAAGGGACATGCCAAAGAGAACATCTGTGAGCTGACTGGGATTGATGGGGAGGAGAAAGGATGATCTCTTCTCATCCTTCTTTCACAGTCAGGGAAGCCCAGTCAGTAGAGATGTTCTCAGCCCACCCAATATTAATAACAAGCCAGTCGTGGTGGCTCATGCCTGTAATCCTAGCACTTTGGGAGGCCAAGGCAGGAAGATCACTTGAGGCCAGGAGTTCGAGACCAGCGTGGCCAATGTGGCAAAACCCCGTCTCTAGTAAAAATACAAAAATTAGCTGGGCATGGTGGCATGTGCCTGTAATCCCAGCTACTTTGGGAGGCTGAGGCAGGAGAATTGCTTGAACCCAGGAGGTGGAGGTTGCAGTGAGCCCAGATCACGCCACTGCACCTCAGCCTGTGTGATAAAGCCAGACTCCGTCTCAAAAAAAAAAAAAAAAAAAAGCAGTAACAAAAATAAAAACAGTGGAGACCATTCATTGAGTGCTTTCCATGTGCCTAGCATGGTGCCCAGCATACAGAAGGGTTCTACAATTATCAATGGAGTGAGTGAATAAATATCAGAAATTGTTGTAAGCACTTTCCACATGGAATTTCCTTTTATCCTCAGAGCAGCCTGACGAGGGAGGTTTTATTATCCCCACTTTATAGTAAAACAAACTGAGGCTCAGAGATCTGTGCAGCTGGGTCTCAGGCCCTCTCAGAAGCATTTGAAGGAACTCTTCTTTTGCCCTCTCTCAGCGTTTCACCATTTTTACCCTTCCTACCTACTACCTCTGATGTCCTGGGCTACAGTCCACAAGATTGACACATTGCACCCCATGTTCTCTCTCCTCACACTTGACATTTGTTATCAGGGCATGGGGAGAGTCTGTTCATGGACATCCTTCTGTAATTGATGGGCTCATAAAATTTACAATGATAGCAGCAACTGTTTACAGAGGCCTGCCCTGAATCTTCCTGCCATCTCTGAAAGGCAGATATTATTCTGACACCCTGATGTGGTTTGGATGTGTGTCCCCACCCAACTGTCATGTTCAATTGTAATCCCCAGTGTTGAAGGTGAGACCTGGTGGGAGATGATTGGATCGTGGTGGGGGCGGAGGGGGGGGGATGTCTCATGAATGGTTTAACACTATCCCCTTGATGTTTGAGTGAGTTCTCAAGAGATCTGGTTATTTAAAAGGGTGTGGCACCTCCTCCCACTCTCTCATGCTCCTGCTCTGGCTATGCGAGGTGCCTGCTCCCCCTTCACCTTCTGCCATGACCGTAAGCTTCCTGAGACCTCCCCAGAAGCTGAGAAGATGCAAGCATCATGCTGTCCGTACAGCCTGCAGAATGGTGAGCCAAGTAAACCTCTTTTCTTCATGAATTATCCAGTCTCAGAGATTTCTTTATAGCAATGTGAGAACAGCCTAATACATACCCATTTTAGACATGTTAAAGATGGGAAAATAGTCTTACAGAGGTAAAATGAAATGGCTTGCCTGGCATCACTCCTATTAGTTTTTAGGTCTGCCAAACTTGGTGGCCTAAAACAACAGAAATGTATTCTCCCACAGTGCTAGAGGTGTAATGTCTGAAATTGAGGTGTTGGTGGGGCTGTGCTCCCTCCGAAGGCCCTAGCGGGGATCCTTCCTAACATCTTCCAGCTTCTGGCGGCTCCAGGCATTCCTCGGCTTGTGACTCCATCACTCGTCTCTGCCTCTGTCTTCACATGGGCTTCCTCCCTGTGTGTCTGTCTTCTTTTTTCTGTCTCTTATGAGGACATCTATCACTGCATATAGGGCACAACTTAATCCTGGATGGTCTCATCTAGAGAACTTTACCTTTATTATCTCTGCAAAGACTCTTAGGCTCAATAAGGTCACATTCCGAGGTTCTGGGTGGATGTATTTTTTTTGGTGGTAGTGGGGTGGGCAGGGCACTACTCAAACTCACCGCAACATCCCTACCAAGTACTGAAACAGAGCGTTAATACCAGACAGGACCAATTCCAAAGCCCATACCTTTAATGGTCACACAATACCAGGAGTGTTCCTGTAGAAGATTTACAATGACAGTGAGCTTTCTTTGACCAGTTTGGAACCTGGGGCCTGCAGCTCTCGACTCTGGCTTCTCTTCATGTGTGAATTTGAGTCTGTGTCAAATATATGTTTGCAATTTTCCAACAAAAAAGAAGAAAGTTGACTTGGCATTGAGGTTCACCCTTTCCCGCCTCACCACCACACACAACTGGTCCAGCCACTAGGCATGTCCATGGGCTGTTCCTACCTCTGCACCCTGATCCATTTCATGCTCCCAGCTGCCTCCTCATTTCTTATCTCCTGTCCCAGTTGGAAGGCTTTATGTTGGCATTTTAGGCTTGAGAAGAGGAGAGAGGAAGGGAAATGCTAAGATGACCCCCTCATGAGGATGTGCAATTTACAAGCCAGTTGCGTGGAGGAAGCACAACAGTAAATTAGCAGATCAAAAAATGTAAGAGAGATCTGTGCTAGCCCAGTTTGCTTGGCTGGGTTTCTCAGCTATGAAACAAACTGCCTATTGAGGAAGGGTGAGACTTACAGGGAGTAACACGAGGGAATTTCTTTGTGGTGATGGAGCAGTTCTGCATCCTGGCCGTAGGGAGGCTCACCTGTCAAACACTTATGCATATTTCATCCAAACTCTTTCCCTCTTGGAAAAGAGGGTTAAAACTTGTCTGCACTTTTTCTAGCTTCTCTGAGGTAGTATAATGCTATGGCTAAAAATCAGGCTCAGGAATTAGATCTGAGTTGGAAACCCAGGCTTCCCTATTATTGGCTGTGCAATTTTAGGCAAGTGACTTACCTCTTTTGAACCTCAGTTTTTAATTTGTATAAAGTGAATATTGACCTCAGGACTATTGTGAGGATTCAATGACCTGCTAGAGATACAGTGGCCAGCATGGTACCTGGTGCACAGACAATAGTGAAGAAAATGTCAATCATGACTACTATTATGATTTCTCAGTCTTACACACCTCGTGTTCAAGTCTTCATCATTTCATTTCTCCTTAGAGTGGTAATGCAGTGGTGATGCATGCTCTTTATCCCACCCAAAAAGGGCGGCTGGCCTGAGTCCCTGGTACTCAATGTGCCTGTGCCCTGATCCCGTCACGAGCTTGGGTTGCTCATTCCCATTTCACCATGGAGCACACAACTTCTTTCTCTGCTTGTTTGTTCTTTCCTGTTTGCCGAGAGCTGATGTCATTAGTTTAATGCAGACTCCCAGACATCAGGGGCTGCGTCTGTGTAACTCGCTTTGTGTTTATACTACACGGATGCTTAATAGTGTCTGGTGATGATGGTGTATTACAAATGACAGCCGAGTCAAGAATGCCCCTCTGCTGGCCTGAATAAGTCAAGGGGGTTTTGAACCATCGTTCTTTCCACAAACAGTTGTTTAGCACATATTAAGTGCTAAGTAGAAGGGATGCAATGATGATTAACTTAGGTCTCTATCTTGTTTATTTTAGCATAGGTCTTAATCTTGCTTATTTATGTGCATAATCTGAGCTCTTTGAGGTCAAGGACCATGTCTTGACCCCTCTCACAAATTTCAATGCTTAGTACAGTATCTGGCATATAGTGGGTGCTAAATACTTCTTTGTTTTATTCATTGTTGATCTGAGAATTAGTTTTGAACTATCTAGTGTAGGCTGGGCTCTGTGCTAGACATTGAGAATACAACAGTGAACCAGGCAGGCAGTCATCTGGAGGTGACAGATATGTAGATGAGTAATTACATTCTAGCAAGATTTTGGCAGTTCTGGGGTGGAGAGGTGGTGGGACCACAGAAGACAGATCAGCCAGCTCTACCTGGAGGAGGAGAATGCCTGCAGCCTTTGCATTGAGTCTTGGTGGAGGAGGAAGGGTCCCTCACGTGGAGGATGGAAACACGGGTGTTCCAAGCAGAGGAAACAGCATGTGCACAGTCACGGAGGTGAGAAAACAGCTGGAGCTTTGTGAATAGCAAGTGACTGACAACCAGTGCTCAAAGGATGGGTAAGGGAATGAATCTGGAAAGATAATTTGAAGGTAATAGGTAGCTATGAAAGAATGTCATGAAATGTCATAGTCTTGTTCTCGAAAGACCACTGTGGGGTTGAATGGAGGATGACTGGGGCTGGTAAACAAATCCTTCTCTGACCCCCTTGGTGAACTTTGTGGAGAATCTCAGAGCCAGAAGCTCTTCAGTGGGCCAGCAAATCAGCTTTCTGAACAAAACTTACCTGTTGTGTACTGTTTGGCAGTTCCCATGGTGTAACTATTCCCAGCATGGCTGTCTTCAAGCTACCAACACGATGTCCCTGAATGCAGAGGTAAAATGAAATGGCTTGCCTGGCATCACTCCTGTTAGGGAAAGAGATGTGCATGCACTTAGTAAGTGTGGTGGAAAATATTAGAGCCAAAAAGCCTTCATTCTGTCCCTTAGAGAGCTTCTGTAAGGGTCCACAGAGACAATGTGTGAGAAAGGAGCTTCGGAAATTGTAACTCAAATGTGAGGCAGTGGTCTGTGTATGTTCACCGGCATTCGATCTGTTCTCCCTAGCAGCATTACCTAGCATTTTTCTGGACAGGTTTATCTCTCTTAGCCATGTGGTTTGGGTGGGACTGCGCCAACACCCAGCTTCAAGACCCAACTAGTGCAAGCCAATGTACAAATCTCCCTCCACCACGCCCCCAGCCCAGACCACAAGCATTGGCTCAGGGTTGAGTACTGAACCAATCCAGGCCTGTGAAATGCAAGAAGACATTTGTTTGGATTTTTGACAGACAGGCCTCTTTTCCCCTCTGAGAAAGCGACCAGAGGAGACCCTCTTTCCCCCTCAGGCTGCGGGGAAGCCATGTGTTCACTGTGTTGCTAATGGAAAGGAAGTTTCTAGAGCATCAGAGGGCCTTGTATAGATGTCCAAATGTGTA
This sequence comes from Homo sapiens, assembly GCF_000001405.40. Classification (NCBI taxonomy): domain Eukaryota; kingdom Metazoa; phylum Chordata; class Mammalia; order Primates; family Hominidae; genus Homo; species Homo sapiens. The sequence continues at coordinate 115,815,853 of NC_000012.12, read as the reverse complement.
CAAACACTGTTCAAGTCTAACAGTTTCCAAGACAGAATGGAGAGGGAGAGAGAGGAACTGGGTCCGTGTTTGAACTGATGGGTCCTTATTCTAACTCGCTCGATCTGACATGAAATTTTTTGTTTTGTGAACCAATACATCCTCCTTTTTGGTTAAGTCTATTTGACTTGGGTTTTTGTCCTTTTTTAGTAGATGGTATGCTTCTGACTATCACTGGCAGCTCCACTACCACCATCAGGACCCACTTAATTTATGAAATGACCAATTCTGAATGGGCAGCATGCTTATAAGGCAGGTTATAAGAGGCTATAACCTCAAGAAGGTTTTAGTCCATACAGTTCACCCCATTATTGGGTGGAAGGGGCCATGAATCCACCCCCCATGGGATCCTAGAAGACATTGATTGGGTTTCAATGTCATGATTATTTAGACAAATACATGTTAGCATCTACTATGTGTTAGGTTCTCTGTTCTCTTCCAGGGGTTGGAAAGCAGCAGAGATAAAAATATGCCTCTGTGAAGAGCATACAATTTCCCACCTGTTCCCTTGTTTGAACTTCAGACCATCTGAGGCAAGTAGGGCACATTAGATTTCCCTCTTTTGCAAAAGAGGAAAGGAAGGCTGAGAGAAGAAAAGTGACTTACTTCAGGTGTCCAGCTTCTGTGTGGCACAGCAGGGTCAAGGGTCCAGGTCTCTTGACTCTTTATAGGGAGCCCATGCCATTCTGGTTGGAAGCTTCTGTATTATATCTGCAAGTCCATGTGGGATCCTCTTGTCCTTTCTTTTCTGAGCACACTGTTTGTTCCAGATCTTTTCTGCTTGCCCCTCCAGCTCCACTCTCCATCTTCCTTTACTCTCTGCCTAGGAAGCTGACCCATGCAGATGTTACTGTGGACTTCCTTGCCCTCTGGCTTCTAGGTTTGGCTTGACCAAGGGCATCCTGGTGGAGGGGAGTTAGGAGGAAGAGAGATTGCTCCCTTGACTCTCTCCTTGGGTTACCTTGGTCTGGTTGTGTCCTTGGACTCAAAGTCACTACTTTTCTCCACGAAGCCCTCTTCTTGGAGGGACACTGTCTCCTGGAGAGTTGCCACACACCTCTCTTTCTCTGGTTCTGGTACAACCCCCAATTCTCCTCCTTTCAGCTCTAGAGATGGTAAGAGTTCTACTGTGACTGGGTACCTCACTATGGCTCCCTCAACCTTTCCCATGCATTTAAAAATAGCCCTTGAATTAGCCCTAGGTAGTGGGTTGAATGATAGTATCAAAAAGACATGTCAGGCCAGGAGCAGTGGCTCACACCTGTAATCCCAGCACTTTGGGAGGCCGAGGTGGGCAGATCATGAGGTCAGGAGTTCGAGACCAGTCTGGCCAACATGGTGAAACCCCGTCTCTACTAAAAATACAAAAAAATTAGCCAGGCATGGTGGTGGGAGCCTGTAATACTAGCTACTCGGGAGGCTGAGGCAGGAGAATTGCTTGAACCCAGGAGGTGGAGGTTGCAGTGAGCCGAGATTGTGCCACTGCACTCCAGCCTGGGTGACAGTGCGAGACTCTGTCTCAACAAAACAAAACAAAACAAAGACAAAAAAATTAAAAAAAAAACCCAAAAGACACACATGTCCACATCTTACTCCCTGAAACCATGAATGTGGAAACAGGGTCCTTGCAGATGTAGTGAAGGATCTTGAGATAAGATCATCCTGGAATACCTGGGTGGGCCCCAAATCCTATGACATGTGTCCTTACACGAGACAAAGGAAAGACAAATAAGGAAAAGGAGAAAAGGCCATTTGAAGATAGAGGCAGAGGTTGGAGCGATGCAGTCACAGTCAAGGAATGCCTGGAACCGTTGGAAGCTGGAGAGGCAAGGAAGGACCTTCCCTTAGAGCCGTCAGAGACAGTGTGACCCTGTTGACATCTTGATTTCAGACTTCTGGTCTCCAGGACTGAAAGTATAAATTTCTGTGTTTCTTAAGACACTGGGTTTGTGGTCATTTGTTACAGCAGCCACAGTGAACTACGCTATTTTCAAATTATTCTAATCTGAGCGTACTGTATCCTGCTGGAACTCTTATAGATACTTTACTTAAAATACAAGTAGGTTTGGAGGTGTCATTTGTGACTGTGATGAGAAAAGAGAGGCAAGGGAAGGTGGGGTGTTTGCTTATGAGCCTGCATTCCCAGAGAAGGTTGGCTTTTCCTACCAAAACCCAGATCCCTGTCATTGGTCAAAAAATATGTACTGAGGACCTGCTATGTAACAGGGACAGATTGCTACAGCAGCAACATGGTCTGTGCCTTTATAGCTTATGGGTTAGAGTGACAGGATATCACAGTGACTTAAAAGCCATAAATGGGGCACAGTTCTTGTTAGCTAAGGCTGAGTCACAAACTGCCCCCAGACTGTGACTTAAGACGACAGCAATCTTAAAACAACAATGGCAGTAATATTGCTCACAAATCTGCAGCTTGGGCTGGGCTCAGTGGGGAAGGCTTGTCTCTTCTCCACGTGGCATTGGTTGGGTTGACTAAGAGCTGGGGGATCTATTTCCAAAGTGGCCTATTCATATGACTGGCAAGATGGTGCTTGCTGTCAGCTGGGAGCTCAGCTGGGGCTGTTGGCTGGGAGGCCTAAGTTACCTCCACATGGGCCTCTCCATGTGTTCTGGGCTTCCTCACAGCATAGAGACTGGGTTTCAAGGGTGAGTGTCCCAAGAGAAACCAGTGGAAGTGATATGGTTTCCTAACCCAGCCTCAGAGGGCATGCAATGTCACTTTTGCTGTATTCTACTCATGGGGACAGTCACAAAGTCCCTCTTAGGTCTAAGGGTAGGGGAAATAGACTCCTACATGGACATTTTTCAGACATGTTTAAAAACCATTCAGGATCTACCTTGGTTTATGGCATCAAGGGAGGCTTTTTTGTAAACACATTTCTTCAGCAGAGACGTGAAAAATAGGAGGAAGTTATCCAGGGAAGGAGAGGGTCGGAAGAGCCTTCTATACCATCAATAGAGAAGGTCATTTGGACAGATGAGAATATGTGTTTTGGAGGCTTGTTGGGGAAGACAGTGTGACTGAGGCAGAGAGTGAGGGAGAACAGGGAAGAAATAAGAACAAAGAGGTAGACAGACTGGTTCACATAAGACCTTGTGGATCAAGTTAAGGTTTCTGGACTTTATCCTGAGTGTGAAGGGAAGCCCATCAAAAAGTAGAGCAGAGGCACTATCAGATATGCCTTTTAGGAAAGCCACATTGGTCACAATGTGGGAAATGGCTTGAAGTGGCACCACCAGGGAGGGTGCTATGGGAGTGGTCCATATGAGAGATGTTGGGGGCTTAGAAAAGATAGTGTAAGGGGATGGAGAAATGGATGGATTAGATATGATAAGCAGGTAGAATTAGTAGGAGTTGGTGGTTTGATATATGGTATGGATGGAGAGAAAGGGTCAAGAAACACTTGGGGTGATTTGATTGAATAATTGGTCTCAATTCTTGAGTTCCTTGAAGACATATTACACATCCACAACCCTGCCATGGCCTCATGATTGGGTGGGGGTACTTTCCTGCCCCTTGACTCTAATACTTGCCATGGGACTTGTTTTGCCCAAGGGAGTGCTAGTAGATGTGATGTGAGCAAGCCTTCAACATGAGCAGAGACTTGGAACGTGCTTGTGTAGTTGACCTTGACCTCTTGTACTCTGGTGATGCACCATGTGAAGAACAGGTCCAAGTAGCTGCTGCTATTTTTATAAAAGTCATGCAATCTTGAGCTGATGACATCATGGTAAGAGCTAGACCTGAGAATATATGTACTTATTAGACATTTTAGTACTTAAGTAATATAGACAGCAAGAAGCAATGTAGTGTAGTAGCAATATTTGTATCTGAGAAGGAATTGTAGACCTGGGCTCTAGAATGTGACATGTAGAACAAGCTACATGATCTAGGTGACTGCTGGTACAGGTAGGGTGAAAGACACTTGAAACAGATCTAAACCCAGTTTATAGCCTGGAGCCCAGAGTCAGAATCTAGAGCATTAAGTTCATCCTAGCTCAGCTGGTTATAGTCAACTTACAGATCTGTGAACACGATAATAAATGAATGTCCTTATAATGAATTTTGGGATTGTTTGTTATACAGCATTATTGTAGCATAGCTGACTGATACAGATGGCTTGGGTCATTTGGGCAATGGCTTTCATATGTTACATTGCCACCACTTGTGTGTTTGCTAAAACAGTCAACTCTGATTCCAATTTTGCAGTCATGTGCCTGCTGTGAAACTCATGGGGGCTTAACTCTGTCATTTCTTCTTCTGATAACCTCTGTACTCCATACTGGGTGGAACTTGTGAGTATGTCACTTGAAGCAAGACCTGTGGGACAATGAATCAGAAAATCAGGAAGTTCTTCTTCCCACTACCTCTCACCTCGCTATTCTGCTGCCTGTTAAGCCAAGTGATTTAGAATACCTCAGAGCTTGGAGTGATTCAAAATTTATTTTAGGGAAGGACACATGGATGGTGACATGTGGAAGAAGTTACTTATCCTAACCAGATGCCCAACACTGATGATGTCATTGAAATGGAGGAAGACGGAAGCCCACCAAATCAGTATGGAACATTTCCTCTAGGAAACAGTGTGCCCTGATATATTAAGTGTTTGACTGTGTTCGGCACGAACACAACTTAATTTTCTTTTTATGAAAGCAATAAGCATTTATAAAATTCCACCCCTTCCACCCTTCACCTAACTTATAAGCCCTTTAGCTATAACCTTCTTGTGACCCTCAGTTTATATAGACCCAAGTCATTTAAAACTCAATCCAAAGTGAAACACGTTTCAGTCATGGTAAAATTAATTCCCTCAGTCTTCATTGGTCTGAGACCTCGTGGGGGGATCTGTGGTTTAAGGAGGGGCTGGGGAAAAGGAAAAGAAGGAGAGTTTTGTGAATAGAAAGGAGGCTTCTAACAGGAAAGATATTTTTAAAGCTGCATTTGGGCACTGTTCCGTTTGAAAGGAATTTGTTATAACGGCAATATATAAATCTTTGAATGGTCTCATAAATCATAGCTCTATACCCAGCCAATCAGAAGCCATGAAAACCTGGCACTGTAGAGCACTCAGTTGTTACTAGAAAGATCCTGTGTGGCTCCTTGGAAGTGGAATCGGAAAATTTGGCTACACTTGGGGGTCTGTGGAATGTCTTGAATTACTTCTCAAACATTTTAGATTTGATAAAACCCAAGACACAGCTTTTCCAGCCCCATTTCCCTTCTCTCCCACCCCCAATAATTATTAAACCCATGTGTACATCAAGAGAAGCTTAATCCATGTGTTTCTGATTCATTTACACTTAACTCATCAAAATATTGTTTTTACAGGGCTGTTTGTTGTCCAAAAAGCCTTTTTCCCTAAGCTTGAAAGCTTAACTTCTCAGAAGCAGGAAGCTGCCTTTTGCCAAGAGTAAATGGGTGAGAAGTCCAAAGGTCTTGGTTTTGAAGTATGTGCAACGAATGTTCAAACAGGTTCTGAACAGAGCCAAATCTACTTTTCTATCTCCAAGAAATCTCGAGAGAGCCATGGGGCGGAAGTTTCAAGGAACAACGTCTCGTCCCAAACCGCATGAAATTGCATTCCAATCAGAAGCATGGCCAAACCCACCAGAACGCAAAACGCAGGGATGGAAGGACACTGACGACGATGACCTTGTGAAATGAGAGAATTGTCTTGAAAGGGAGCGTTGTTACGGAAGATGCTGATTTCGGCATTCCCTGTCTGAAGTGCTAACTAACCTCATTGGGTTTTTGCTCTGCACCAGGTACTGATATCTATACTTTTCCTGTGTATTCACTTACTTGATACCTGATGGAGGAGGTATTTTTCAGAGGAGAAAACTGAGTCATGGACAAAGTCAGTGACGTGCCCGAGATCGTTCATCTAAGATGTTGCAGAGCTGGGACTTGAACCTAGTTTGTCTGCCTCTGGGATCTGAGCTGGTAAACATCACATGGCACTTTGTGGCTCGTTTGTGACTGGTCCGTCCATTGGTGGAAAATGGTTAGAAGTCCTACTCTGTGCCCCTCTGTGTGCCAGTACTTGGAGATACTTCCTCCAGATACTTCCCCATGAAACTTAATCTGGTGGTGGAAGACAAACATAAAACAAATAATTGATTTGAGCTCTGAGAAGTGCCACAAAGGCAACGCACAGGTATAATGATGGGGGAGGGAGGGGTGGCACTTGGTCTGGGAAGTAGGGGAAAACTGTCTCTGTAAGGGACATTTTATCTCAGACCGGAAGACTGTTGTTATGGGTTCAATTCCATCCTCTTCTCCCCAGCATTCATTTGTCAAAGTCCTAGCCCCTAGACCTCAGAATGTGACCTTATTTGGAAATAGTGTTGTTGCTGATGTAATTAGTTAAGATGAGGTTAGAGTAGAGTAGGATGGGCCCCTGCTATAATATGACTGGTATCTTTATAAAAAGGGGAAATTTAGAGACAGACACACACACACAGGGAGAAGGACATGAGAACAGGAGGCAGAGATGAGGCTGGTATTTCCACAAGCCAAGGAGTGCCAAAAACTGCCAGCAAATCACCTTCAAAAGGAGCATGACATCTTGATCTTGGACTTTCACATTCCAGAACTGTGTTTTTATCCACTCCCATTGTGGTACCTTGTCATGGCAGCCCTAGCAAACGAATGCAGAGGGGAAGGTGCCAGTCAGGTGAGGAGGGAGTGGAGAGTAGGAGAGAGGGAAAAAGAAACAAAACCCAGGAAGAAGAGCTAGCATGTGCAAAATCCCCAACGGAGGAAGGAGCGTGACACATTTGGGAAGGTGGAACCAGGGAGAGGGGAGGGTGGAAGATGAAGCAGGTGGAACCAGATTCTGGCGTCTCTAATACACAACGTGGCATTTCTATGAAGGACGATGTGAAACCAGTGAAGGGTTTTAACCAAGGGGCAACCATAATTGGATCTGAATTTTAATATCATTGTTCTGTTGCTGTGTGGAAACTGAATTTTGGGGGTGGTAGGAAAGAATAAATGTAGAACAGTTTAGAACCTATTGTGTTTGTGCCCAGGAGTTTCAGCCGAATTCTTCAGATTGGTTATTCTTCCAAACAGGCCATTTTCCTCAAGCCATTTCCCTACTCAGTACTCAGACACATTCATTGTTTACAGTGTACCAGGCTCTGAAACTGTGCTATCCAATATGGTAGCCACTGGCCACGTGTGGCTCATTTAAATTAAAATTAAAGACCAGTTGCTCTGTCTCACTGAGACGTGCCTATGTGCTCCCTAGCCACATCATTCACTGAAAGTTCTGTTAGACAGCTCTGGTCTAGGGAAACACAGAGGAACAGGGCATCATCCCGTCCTTGTTTTTAGAGCAGTGAAAGAACTCGAGACAACTGGATTTCGTAGACCAGCAAGAACTTTTTTTGTTTTTAAGTATACTTTAAGTTTTAGGGTACATGTGCACAATGTGCAGGTTTGTTACATATGTATACATGTGCCATGTTGGTGTGCTGCACCCATTAACTCGTCATTTACATTAGGTACATCTCCTAATGCTACCCCTCCCCCGTCCCCCCACCCCACAACAGGCCCCGGTGTGTGATGTTCCCCTTCCTGTGTCCATGTGTTCTCATTGTTCAATTCCCACCTATGAGTGAGAACATGCGGTGTTTGGTTTTTTGTCCTAGACCAGCAAGAACTTTTATAAATACACTGAGAAAATGAAAAGGCAATTCACAGAGCTGGAAAAATATCTGCACTGCCTATGACTGGTACGGGGTTCTGTGAATAATATTTTAAGATCTCCCAAAATCAGAAAATGAGAGAACAGTTCAGTAGAAAAATGCAAGAGACTTGAACAGGGATTTTCCAAAGGGGAACATCTGAATGGTTAATAAATAGATGAAAAGGTACTCAATCCTATCAGGAGTCAGAGAAATGCCCATTAAAGCTGCAATAAGATGCTACCCACACACACCAGAATGGCTTAGATGGAAAAGACGAACAATATCAGACTAAGGACATGCACCAGAGTTTCTAGGATTAAAAGACTATCCATACTAAGTGTTGGCAAGGATGTGGAGTGACTCAAACTCTCACAAGTGTTGGTGAGAGTGTAATTGGCACAACCTCTTTGGAAAGCAGTTTGGTGTTCTCCACTAAAGACAGGGCGGCTTTATGATTTATTGTCCAAACAAGCTCATTTTCAGGAATGAAAGGGGGAAGTGTTCACTGATTCCATAGGCATTGATTGGGAGAGTCCTTGAACATACAATTAACCTAATCAAAATAGATATTCATGTGTGTGATCCAGCAAATCCACACCTAGGTGTGTATGTGCATGTATATATCCAACAGAAATGTGTGCACAAGTGACAAAATGTTCTCAGTGGCACTTTTGTAGCAGCTCCAAACTGGCAGCAACCAGAATGCCCTTCATGCAGTGCAATACCGTGCATCATCAAAAATGAATTGATCTGTGTGAAATACGACAACAGGGAGGAATGTTAGAAATATATTGGGGCCAGGTACAGCGGCTCATGCCTGTAATTCCAGCACTGTGGGAGGCCGAGGTGGGCAGATCGCTTGAGGCCAGGAGTTCGAGACTAGCCTGGGCAACATGGAAAAACCCTGTCTCTACAAAAAATACAAAAATTAGCCACGTGTGGTGGCATGCATCTGTGGGCCCAGCTACTTAGGAGTCTGAGGTGGGAGGATCACCTGAGCCTGGGAGGCAGAGGGTGCAATGAGCCAAAATCACATCACTGCACTCCAGCCTGGGCAATGGAGTGAGATCCTGTCGAAAGAAAGAACGAAAGAAAGAATGAACGAAGGAACGAAAGGAAGGAAGGAAGGAAGAAAGGAAGGAAGGAAGGAAAGGGGAAAGAAAGAAAAAAAAGAAAAGAAAAATGTTGGACAGAAACACCCATGTATGAAAGAGTATATCACTTACAATCCATTTGGAATAGAAAACTAAAGGCAGGACTTTGTGTTGGAAATCAGGGTGGTGTTTTCCTTTGGGGAGGGGGAAGGGGATGATGAGAAGTGCTAGCAGAGGGGCTTCTGAGGTGCTGGCAGTATTTTATTTTTTGACCTAAATTGTGGTTACACAGGTATTCATTTTGTGATAGTTCAGCTGTACAGCTATATTTTGTGCTCTTTTCTGTATATGTGCTATATTTCACAAGTAAAAATCAATGCAAAGCTATTATCTGGGCTTGTCATAGAGTTGTCAGGTTTTTATTTCACCTAATAAGTACATCTAATAGAATAATGGCTACCTTCCTTTAAATTCATCACTTCATAGGAGATAAAAAATTCAACATCAAAGCAGAAGGGATATAATTTTAAAATTAAGAACAGAGCTATAAAATAAATTTCTCATTTTGAAAAACTGACTAGACTGATGATGTAACTTTGATCATTTCACAGGGAGCCAGTGGAAACGTTTCCACAGACCCATTTTTGGAAACCTTTGGTTTAGTGGGGTCCCATCATCAGTTATACAAGGCTGCCAAAGTCTCTTCTTTGAAACTAAAGAGGTCTTTTAAAATAAGCTAGGGAAGTGCAGCGATTAAACAAGGTCTAGTAGGTTTCCTTGCTGCAGGACTTATCAGAGCCTTTACCATACAAAGATGCACTGTGACTCTCTAGGAGATGGATAAATAATGGGGCATTTCCCAACCTCATTTGCTAACAGAACCATGTTTCTGTTGAACCATTTCTAGGGACACGTGGCCAAAGGGACATACTTTGGGGACCCTAAGCCTATAGCAGGGGTCAGCAAGCCAAGGTCTATAGTCTGGATGCCTGTTTTTATAAATAAAGTTTTGTTGGATCGCAGTGATGACTGTTCATTTACATATTGTGTATTAACTGTGATGACAACAGTGAAGTCATTGTGACAGAGACCGTATGAGGCCCACAAAACCTAAAATATTTACTATTTGAACTTTTACAGACAAAATTTGTTGAACTCTGGCCAGCAGGACAAAGTTTCAACTCTTTTTCTTAGAGTTCAGAACTATCTAGAATCAGACCAACTCAGCCTCCTTTCTGATGTTATCTTGATGAGTTTCCTGTGCATGAAAGATCTGTTTTGGTCCCGTACATTCAATGAAACCCTTCTACTCTTTGTCTTTCCCCAGTCATCCTCACTGGCTGGACTAATGGACCCATTTCTCACTACTGTCCCTTTTCCATCCCACAAGTGCCTACTCCATGAAGCCTTCCCTGATTCTCCATCTCCATACACCTCAGGATTTTGGCTTCCCAGATCTCCCATTGCTTTTCCTCTTTAATAGCAGTTGCTGTAGATGGACCCTGTATTATTTAGGATTAGATTGTTTGTAACAAACCTCCACATTTTGTTTTCATAAATAAGCTAGATATTTATTTCTCTCCCTTTTAAAAGCTCAGAGGTAAACAGTCAAGATCAACTTGCTGCTTTGCCATGGATGGCCTCCACATCCAAAGTTACCTTGTGGCTCAAGATGGCTGCTCTGGCTCAAGCCATCATACTCTTATTTCAGTCAGAAGAAAAAGCAAAGCTGCTTTTGCTTTGACTGAAACTTGGAATGTAATTACATGATTACACCTGGCTGTAACGGAAGCTGAGAAACACAGCTTCCCCCAACCCACCGCCGTCCCCGGCCACATCCCCAGGCATCATGGTTCTAAGGAAGAAGGGGAGTCTAGGCTATGGAAGGAAAACCAACCATATATCTGTGCAGTGTGAGATTCAGTCTATTTTAGCTTATTATCCTAGCATATTACCCACAGTGGCAGACATATGTGATTTCTGCCTGCTTAGCATGATTTTTCCTTCTAGGAATATTACTCTAGTTTTGTTTTGGGAGCACTTTCGCCCCCAGCTGGGGATGTTGATCAAGGTGCTGTTCCTTCCTTAGTAAAGGGGTGAGAATGAGACCCAGGAAGATCAGCTGGACACTCCTGGAAATTGAAGTCTTGAGTAGAGTGATGCAAAGACTGAAAATGGGTTGGAGCTGATTCACCCAGACAATCATGCCCAGAAGAATGTCACTATTGGTTCCTCGTCCCTTGACACAATGCCTTGCTTCCTGTCTTTCCTGAGTCCCTTCTTCAGGGTTCATGAGCCTATTCATTCATCTTACACGAATGTCCTGCTTTGCTTATGTAATCCAGAGTTGGCCTGTGTTGCCCACAGCTGAGAAAATCCTCAGGATTACACGTGTATACTCAGGGCTTCAAAATGGCTGGATAGAATTAATCAATACAGATCACAGAACTTCCCTTTGCCAGCCTCAGAAAATGGTCCTGTTTGAATTGGATCAAGACACAGATGGTTCATACAACATGAGGCACCATTCAAAGAGGAAGAAACCACTGGGGTTTCAGTTGCCACAACCTTGAGTCTCCCAATATAGGAGGGTCTTATGTTTTACTTGCCTGTCAGATTCATAAAATTGAGATGGAGAATGTTAAAAAAAGATCCCAGTCCACTCCCCGGAGGCCCATGCCAAAATTATTTCCCTGCAATGGATTATTTATCATTGGTTGCTCATGGGTCTAGATCTTTGCAAGAATTGCTCTCTGCTAATGGTGGTATGTTTATATCTGGACCAACAAAGTCATGCCTGCCGCATCCCAACCACCACCAACACTATTTCTTCTTAGGCCCCAAAGGCTCTTAAGAAATTTAGGCAAAGGCTGGGCACGGTGGCCCACGCCTGTAATCCCAGCACTTTGGGAGGCCGAGGTGGGTGGATCATGAGGTCAGGAGTTCGAGACCATCCTGGCTAACACGGTGAAACCCCGTCTCTACTAAAAATACAAAAAATTAGCCAGGCGTGGTGGTACGCGCCTGTAGTCCCAGCTACTCAGGAGGCTGAGGCAGGAGAATTGCTTGAACCCAGGAATCGGAGGTTGCAGTGAGCCGAGATCGTGCCATTGCACTCCAGCCTGGGCAACAGAGTGAGACTCTGTCTCAAAAAAAAAAAAAAAAAAAAAGAAATGTAGGCAAATGACAACTCAAGAGCAGGCTGTGTTCCAAAAATTTATTGTAAGTTGTTTGACAGGAATGAATAGGCGTTTCACCACAGAAGCAACGTTATGTCTGTGCAAAGTGGTTCATAGAGAAGGATCCCATTTTTGTTGCGCCCCCAATACACACCACACTCGTTTATGTTCACACACACATATACACTCATATCTATACATGCCTATGTAAAGCTATGTGAAAAAGTGGAAGAAATCACACCAGATTGCTAATGTGGGTATCTTTGAATAATGGGATAGTGAGCAATTTCTTTCTCCATGCCTTATTTACATTAAAAAAAATTTCCTTTCAACGAACACAATTATTTGAATAATCCACAAATAATTACATATTTACAAAAAGAAAACATATTAAGGGTAGTGCATGCCTCAGGACAGCACCATTCTAATAATGTAATTGCAGTGGTTTTAGAATATTAACATTTATAAACCAACACAAACTTAATGCTGATTCTTGAAGCTTATTTAAAAAATGGTTTCTTGGTGTAGCAGTAGGCTGAAAGCTGTGTGCATACAGGCACTGTTTGCTTGCATATGGTACCCCCGGTGTTAAGCAAGTAATGAAGGGGAAGAAGGCAGGAAAGAAGAAACAGGGGGGCCATGTGGTATGGTAGAGAGAGCTTTAGAAGATAGAGTTAACATTTTAGGCTTTCCCCTACAGCTCTGTCTTTACCGAGGTGTGTGACCTTGGGCAAGTCATCTCTCACCTGAGTCTTGCTTTATCCATCTGCACAATGAGAAGATAGGGCTACATTTTTCTAGGTCAGCGATTGGCAAACTCTGGCCTGTGTGCCAAATCTGGCCCACTACTTGTTTTTGTCAATAAAGTTTTATTGAAACTCTTTATGTACATTCACTTATATATCATCTATGGCTGCTTTCACCCTGCAATGGCAGAGTTGAAGAGCTGCAATGGAAAGACCTGATGATTTGCAACATCTAAAATACTTACTATCTGGCCCTTTACAAAAAAAGTTGCTGACTCCTGGTCTAGACGACTCTTAGTGGAATCTGTATGTGAATCTATATTGCCTAGGGTGTGGTTTTCCACTCCTGTGACTTTGGAGGTGGGATATGCATTTTCCTCCCTGATTGATCCTCATCCCAATCCAATGATGGGGAGGAGGTGGTCAAGGGGGAAGCTTCTGGATTTTTGTGAGCCACCCTAGTGTATGGTTCATCTTTTTGCTCTTTCAGTCTGCTGCTGGAGGGTCAGCAAAATTGACTATGCTGAGAGGAGGAATTTGAGGGGTGGGGATGGAAAAATCTACCTTTACGATGATGCTCTGAAGTTAGAAAATTGCCCGAGTAATTGACTGTGCTGTCAGCACCTTTACCGATCTGTAAAATAGATCCTCGGGCCCTTCCTGTGCTGTCTCTTATGCCAGCTTATGAGCACTTCTGAACAGTGTCCTTCTTCGATTCTTGGAAGCATTTTTCCTTCCTGTGCAAAATAATCATAATCATTTTCCTGAAGACGTTCAGGCAATGGAACCCATCCTGCATGTGTGTGCTTTTCTCTCTGATGTAGTTGTCCTGCTCTTTCTGGACTCCTGAATTATAGATTATACTCTGCTTTGTGCCTTTTAATTTGGCCCATGGATACTGAAACCATTTCAACTGACCCTGCACTTTTCCCACTTACAGCTTTGCAGGCAAGACAGCCCTAATTTTCTGGACAAATGACCCTTTGCTGCACCAGCTGGGTCTAATCAAATCCTAGGGCTTCCTACTTACCAAAGATAACACTGAGTCACGAGTATTCACAGTCTGATTCCCCAGGGAAGACAGACCCCTGGCCCGGAAGGCCTGGAGACCCTGAAGCAGTGTGTAACCAATGCTCATAATTGTCCGCTCTCTGAAACATTACAAGAGCTTATTCCAAAGCACTCTCCCTTGCTCCCTTTAAAGCACACAAGCCATGACTCAGTGAGAGCTGGTTGGTCTTTGTTTATCTCAGGGGAATCTGTCCCTATTTGACTGTGATTTCTGGGACAAACCAAGCAAAAAATGGAGACCAAACACTTCTGAGTTTCCTTCCTTCCAGGCCCTCCTGCATTCACAGCTCTTTTCAGATCCAAATCTTCCTCCTGAATCTTGTCTCTGCAGCCCACATGGTCATTGTATTTCTCGGAGGCTATTAAAAAAGGTTGGTATGAATCGAAGATGAGGGAGAGGATGACATTGTCATATTTTTGACATGAGTCCACATTTAATGTCTTTCTTCCAAGGATGAAATAAAATAATGGATATAAAGTGTTTTCTAGAGCAACAAGCCTCAACCTATCATGTTTGCATGAATCCACTAAAACTCAGATTCTGGGCTGGGTGCGGTGATTCACTCCTGTAATCCCAGCACTTTGGGAGGCCGAGGTGGGTGGATCACGAGGTCGAGAGATTGAGACCATCCTGGCCGACATGGTGAAACCCCTTTCTACTAAAAATACAAAAATTAGCTGAGTGTGGTGGTGCGCGCCTGTAGTCCCAGCTACTCTGGAGGCTGAGACAGGAGTATCACTTGAACCTGGGAGGTGGAGGTTGCAGTGAGCCAAGATCGTGCCACTGCACTCCAGCCTGGCAACAGAGCAAGACTCCATCTCAAATTAAACAAAACAAAACAAAACAAAAAAAGAAAAAATTCAGGTTCTGTAGGTCTGGGTAGGGCCAGGAATTCTGCATTTCTCTCTCTCTCTCTCTCTCTCTCTCTCTGTCTCTCTCTCTCTCTCTCTCTCTCTCTGTTTGAAGAGAGGGTCTCACTCTGCCATCCAGGCTGGAGTTCAGTGGTGCAATCATTGCTCACTGCAGCCTCCATCTCCCAGGCTCAAGTGATCTTGCCACCTCAGCTTCTCAAGTAGCTGGGACTACAGGCATGAGTCACTGTGCCTGGCTAATTTTTAAAATTTTTGGAGAGACGGGGGTCTCATTATGTTGCCTAGGCTGGTCTTGAACTTCTGAGCTCAAATGATCCTCTCACCTCGGCCTCTCAAAATACTGGGATTACTGGCATAAGCCACTGCACCTGGCCTGGATTCTGCATTTTTAGTAAGGTTCCAGGTGATGCTGATGCTGCTGGTCTGAAGACCACACTTTGGATAACAAGATTGGGTAACACAAGAAAGTTTGAATACATAGTATCCAACAGCATTAAATGTTGGCTTCCTTTTCTAAGTATACTAGACCCTCAATAGCCCTTGATACTGACAAGAGGTAGGGCAGGGATCCAAACCCATATCTGTGGATCTAGCCCACTATAGGGCTCTAGGAATTCTGGTATACCTGTGTCAGATCCAGAGGATAAGGTGAGCGTGGGATATGATTAAACATTCTGTTTAAGCAACAAATAGTTATTGAGCATATGCTCCACCCTTGAAACTCAGTGATAATTCTAAGTTTTGACCAAAGTGGCTTTTATATGATCTCATTTCTGTCTCAGGAGTTTGCACTTGTATCCTCTGCCTGAATTGCTTTCTCTTGGTCTTCCTGTTGGCCAGGCACAGACCCATGAGAGAAGGACTTGGTCAATGCTCTTTTCTGGGTATATGGTTGGCATTCAGTAAATGTTTGTTGGATGAATGGACGACCCAGAAGAAAGATATGGTAAGCAACGTAACAGGGGCAATATTTAAACCACTTCCAATAATGCCTTTCGATTTCTCGTTTCTGGCAGAATTTATAGGCTATCTACTAATATACTGATGGTGAATTATTCTTACTGAGCGAATAAAAGCTGTTCTCATGAAGACCTTTGTGGTACTGCAGCATTAGCAGAGTCCCAGCTAATACATGTAATTAAAAGCCACAAAATCAGATACACGGGGTGTAGTAGTCTGCTAGAGCTGCCACGCCAAAATACCACAAAGCAACAGAAATTTATTTTCTCACAGTTCTGGAGGACAGAAGTCCAAGATTAAGGTGCCAGCAGGGCTGCTTTCCGGTGAGGCCTTATTTCTCAGCTTTCACATGGCATCTTCTTGCTGCTGTGTCCTCACATAGCCTTTCCTTTGTGCGTAGAGAGAGGTGGATCTCCAGTGTCATCTCCTCCTCCCCCTCCCCTCCCCCTCCTCCTCTTCCTCCTCCTCCTCCTCTTCCTCCTTCTTCTTTCTCCCCCCCCAACCCCCCCTTCTTCTTCTTTTTTTGAGACAGATCTTATGTTTTCCCTCAGACTGGAGTGCAGTGCTATAATCTTGACTCACTTCAGCCTCGACCTCATGGGTTCAAGTGATCCTCCTGCCTCAGCCCCCCAAATAGCTGGGACTACAGGTATGCACCACCACGCCCAGATAATTTCTTTTGTGTGTGTGTGTGTATATATATATGTGTAGAGATGGGGTTTGGCCCTGTTGCCCAGGCTAGTCTTGAACTCCTGAGCTCAAGTGATCCACCTGCCTTGACCTCCCAAAGTGCTGGGATTACAGGCGTGAGCCACCACGCCTGGCCATTTGTCTTCCTCTTCTTATAAGGACAGCAGTCCTATCAGATCAGGACCCCACCTTTACACTCCCGTTTAACCTTAATCACCCCCTTAAAGGCTCTATCTCGAAACAGTCACATTGGGGGTTTAGGGCTTCAACATATGAATTTAGAGGTGACACAGTTAAGTCCATAACCTTTTAAGAGATTCTGACCTAGGCTTAGTCGAGGTACGTGGCCTTGCAAATATATAGGGAACCCAGGAAAGCTTCCTGATGAGAGGGACTTTAGGGTGCTCAGAAGGTAGTCTGTGGTTTCTATTCTAGCTCCTGCCATCAAGGTGACCCAGCTCTTTACTAAGCATGTGCTTCTTTCTGTCTCCCTTATTTTTAAAATAGATTAAAAAAATTTTTTTTCAATAGAGATGGAGTCTCACTGTGTGGACCGGGCTGGTCTCCAACTCCTGGCCTCAAGTGACCTTCCCATCTCTGCCTCCCAAACTGTTGAGATTACAGGCATGAGCTACCATGCCCAGCCTCTGTCTCACTTCTAAGTGCATTTTTCCCGATCTTCAGCAGCACTTTATGTTTTCCCTTTTACAAGTCTTATCGCCTGTTACCTTAATTGCTTTTTAAACTCTAAGCTCTAGGAGGGTGCACAGGACTTTCTGTTTTGTTCTTTGCCACAATTCCAGAGCTTTGTAGAGGTTCAGTAATCTTTGCAGGTTTAAAATGACCATGCAACCAAGCACTACAATTGATGTACGCGTTGGGAAAAAGTCCAAGGCTTAGCATGCTGCCTTGATTTCTTTGATTTGTGAAACCAGCAGATGTTCATTGAGTGTTTGCTCTGTGCCAGGCACTTGCTAGGCCCTGGGTATACAGTGGTGAATGAGAAACACAAGGTACCTTCCCTCATGAAGTTGCATTCTATGGGGAGGGGGGACAGGTGCAACACCAGTAAGCAAAACAAATTACAAGATAATTTTAGATAATGACAAGTGCTCTGAAGAAAGTGAAACAGAGTCATGTAGAATAAACAGAGTAGGCATAAAGGATTTGTTGAAGGAAGGAAAGGAAGGAAGGGAAGGAGGGAAGAAAGGAATTGCTATACAAGGCTTCCTAATTGGTGTTTTCAGTTTCAAGCAATGCTAGTATGTTGCAGAATAATCAGATGTACCCATTCATTTTCCTGCTGCTTTCAAAAATTCTAACTTTTTTATTGAAATATAGGTGATCAGAAAAGTGAAAATGTTCATTGTAAAGCTTGATAAAATTTCACAAACTGAATGTATCCAGATCGAGTTGCTGAACACTAGCGACACCTCAGAACCCCACCTCACGCTCCCTTCTGGACATTAGTAACACCATTCTGACTTCTAACTTGTGCTGGATTTGAAACCATCAGGGCCAATAATATTATAGAGTGGAATGCTAAAATAACATAACTTCTGGTTTGCAGAGCACACTTTTGCAAATACTGGGTCCCAAACCGTGACATTTCACCAAAATACATGAGTTGGCTCTGTCCCAACAAACTTGTTAAAGTGGTCCTGTCCCTTCTCCTAACACTGGCTTCACAAGCTCTGCTCTCTCTTTTTGGTCTTTAACATCAGCTTTCTTTCTTTCTTTTTTTTTTTTTTTAGACAAAGTCTTACTCTGTTGCCCAGAGCAGTGGTGCAATCTCGGCTCACTGCAACGTCCACCTCCTGGGTTCAAGCGATTCTTGTGCCTCAGCCTCTCAAGTAGCTGGGACTACAGGTGAGTGCCACCACGCCCAGGTAATTTTTTGTATTTTTAGTAGAGACAGGGTTTCTCCATATTGGCCAGGCCGGTTTCAAATTCTTGGCCTCAAGTGATCCACCTGCCTTGTCCTCCCAAAGTGCTGGGATTAGAGGTGTGAGCCACCATGCCTGGCCAACATCAGCTTCTGACAGATGAGGAATTTCAAAAATATTCTCAAATGCCAAACGTCTCAGCACTAGATGCAAACCTCTCCATGTGCAGGGTTATGCAAGCATCAGAGAATGGATGGAGATCTTTTACATTTAGTTGATTTAATTAAACGCCTTTACTACCCCCGCACTGTTGCATTTGTCTTGTTTTTAATTTCCAATCTTGAGTCAACTCTGCTCTGCCAAGTTTTGGTAGAGATAGATGCAGAAGGGGTTTTAAATAAAAATTTCCATCTGTCCAGAATCTAGGAAAAATTCTACACAATGTTATATCAAAGGGCACATGAGTTGTGAACTTTCTGGGAGGGTTAGAAAAGCATGGAGAAATGCATTTCCTAGAATCTACCTTCCATCCCAGGCAGGGCTCAGGCCCTGTCCTCAATTCTTAGCCAGAAGCCCTGGGGTTAATCTTCCTAAATGACACTTAACAGGTGGGGCCTCTTGAAATCTCTGTGGCAAGACCTCTGGGTCTATAAATCTGCAATGGGACCAATGCTCTGAATTCTTAATCAAGCCTGTTTCCTTTATTAATCTCCAAGACCGGCAGTGATTTATAAGCAGGGCTTCCATTTGGTCCAGAAAATGAAATTCATTTCACAAACCCGTAAGTGTGGTCCAAATCAATTGACCACGATACTTTCCTATTTCATGCTCTGTGTCACACTGATCTTTTAACTTGATTGTTCTATTACCAAGTATTCACTTAAAAGCCTTTGCTGGGTTTCTGTGCCTCACAAAAATAATATTAGCCCCAGCACAATGATCATTACTGATACCAAGATTGGGCTTTTAGATGACTGCAACTGGAAAGGGATAGTGGTGAGGTGAGAAAAGGAGGAGGTAATGAGACTTGAATCATCTGGTGTCAAGGTTCCTAAATGATGGAGAACTGAGTGATCATGGGAAACCCATTCACAGGCAGGTCTCTGGGCTCCACCCAAACTCTGCCAAATCAGTGTCTCTGGGAATGGGGAAATGATATCTTGAGAATTCTACAGTTGAAACTAAAAATTCTAGGAATACAGGGAGCTTCTCCCTCAGTCTAGAAATACCAGGTTGTTTATTTCTTCAGCAAATGTTTATTGAGCACCTGCTATGTGCCAGGCACTGTGATAGGCATTTGGGATACATCAGGGAATCCGTAGATGGGAATCCGTAGACAGGAATCCCTAGCTTTCTGGACATGGTAACCATTTAGTTGATTGCAGAGAATATAAAAAATAATGATTAACCCTCATCGAATATGCACTAGAATTTCTCATTTAATCCTCACCACAGACATAAGAAGTGGTGCATACTACCACTTTCAGAGATGGGAAAGTTGATACTCAAAAGACTGAATTACCCAATGTCACAGCTGATAAAAGGTGGATCAGAGTTCCCAACCCAGGTCTGCTGAACCAGCCTGCTACAGCCTGCTAGCAATTATACGTCTACACTTGTTTCAGAGGCTAAAGTGAGGATGACATATAATCAAACAGGTCGCTGGTTCTTCTGTGCAAGCCACAAGTAGTTATTGAGCATCTACTATGAGTAGAATCTTTTCTCAAAGGTGGAGACTCAAGGATGAATGAGGTACCATGTCCAGCAGATGAGAGAGACACCTCAAAACACAATACAATGTATGCGACGGAAGTGGCAAGGGAGTTATAGACAGGATGCTCAGGGTGCTTGTGGCTGGGACTCCCAGCTAGATTTGGGGGTAAACTGAGGATTTGTGGAGGAGGTGGAGGAGGGTAAGTTGGACACGTGGGAGCTTGCCAGGCTGGGGGAACAGCATGTACAATAAGGACATGCATGTACAGGAGGCCCCTGGTTCTCAGCCTGGCTGGAGGTGAATGGGGGCTGGGGAAGATGATGCTGGAGAGGCAGGAAGAGCCTAAGCTTTGTTGGAGCTCTAAGGAATCTGGACCTCCCAAGGGAATTAGGAAGACATGGGATACTTCAACAGTATCAGACTTAAATTTCAGAATGAGCCTTCCCCGTGTAATGGATTTGGAAAATGAGTTTAGGTGAAGCAAGAGGCTCACTGAGCCAGTTCAGAGGGAATGGGTGAAGGCATTCTTCCAGGATGCCTCGACAACCTCATTTGCAGTCTGTCTGTGTGCTGGAAAAGTCTGGGAAATGTCTCTTTGGAGAAACGGTGTTATGGTACCACTCAGCTGGGGCAATAGCCATCTGAGAAGAATTAGCTACACTTTGTGGTAGCTTCCAGGAATCAAGAGTCAAGATGAGATAGGTGGCTGGTTTGATGATGTCAATACTGGTAGCCTGGAGCCTTGTCAGTTGGTGTCAATAATATTCAGATAATTTGGATAAGTATACAACACATTACCCAGGTAGTGGCCCACTCGGTTTGAGCAAAAGGCCATGAGTGCGGAACACACACTATTCATGGGGCAGATAGGTTGGATTCAGGGTTATTTCTGCTGATATCAGGAGGAAGTGAAGAACTGGGCCGCTTAAGCAGAAGTGTTAGCCCTGCTAATGGGTGCCACCTGGTGACCTTTTGGTGATAATGGTGTCAGACACATGATAAAGACTTGTGATGGCAGGAAACACCCTATGTTTACGGAGTAATTTTCTCAGCATGGGTTCAAAGTGCAAATGGCTTATGTTCATATTGCCATCCTCAGAACAGCTCAGGAAGGTGAGGGTACGCCTGTGTTAGCCTGGATGTTATTGCTGGAGTGCTGGACAGCACATCATATTGTTTGCATGTTCACCATCACCTTCGTTGCCATTCTTCCACTTCTTGGAGTCTTCTCTGGGCCAGGCCACACTAAGCATGTCCCATGTTCATGTCCTGACAGTGGTCACAAGGCCCTATAGGAACTGTATCCTTATTTGTTCCCTGTCCACCTCCTTGGTCACTCTTCTCCAGCCACAGTGGCTTCCTCGCTGCAGTTGACTGTACCAGACAACATGTTCCTACCTCAGGACCTTTGCACTGGCTGTTCTCTCTGACGGGAACGCTCTTCCCCACCTCCTCACTTCCTCACTCTCTTCGTGTCTCTGCTCAGATTCATCTTCTTGGTGAAACTCACCCTAATCAATTCAACATGGCAACTTTCCTCTCCTCCATCCTTATTCCTTATTTCTACCATTTTTTTCTTTTCTTTTCTTTTTTTTTTTTTGAGACAGAGTCTCACTCTGTCACCCAGGTTGGAGTGCAATGGCGTGATCTCGGCTCACTGCAACCTCTGCCTCCCGGGTTCAAGTGATTCTCCTACCTCAGCCTCTCAAGTAGCTGGGATTACAGGCGCATGCCACCATGTCTGGCTAATTTTTGTATTTTTAGTAGAGACAGGGTATCACCATGCTGGCCAGGCTGGTCTCAAACTCCTGACCTCGTGATCCACCTGCCTTGGCCTCCCTCCCAAAGTGCTGGGATTATAGGCATGAGCCACCATGCCCGGCCTTTCCACCATTTCTATTGCCCTCCAATAGCACCTAACTACTTTTTTTTTTTTTTTTTTTTTTTTTTTGAGACAGAGCCTCGCTCTGTCGCCCAGGCTGGAGTGCAGTGGTGGAATCTCGGCTCACTGCAAGCTCTGCCTCCTGGGTTCACGCCATTCTCCTGCCTCAGCCTCCTGAGTAGCTGGGACTACAGGCGCCTGCCACCAGGCCCAGCTGATTTTTTGTATTTTTAGTAGAGACGGGATTTCACCGTGTTAGCCAGGATGGTCTCCATCTCCTGACCTCGTGATCCACCCGCCTCGGCCTCCCAAAGTGCTGGGATTACAGGTGTGAGCCACTGCGTCCGGCCAGCACTTAACTTTTAACATTCAAAATAACTTACTATTTCTTAATGTCTACTGTCTGTTTCCCCTGCTAGGAGATAAGCTCCAGAGATCCTGGCAGAGAGTAGGTGCTCAGTTAATGTTGAACATATTGTTAATCTAATCCTTAGAACGAGTCTATATGGTAGAGGCTCTTCAACCTCATTTTATGAATGAGA